>NC_000012.12:115490431-115641946 GCF_000001405.40 Homo sapiens | reverse complement strand
GAATAAAGCTGCCTACACATCCATGTCCAGGCTTTTGTGTGGATATAAGTTGTCAATACATTTGGGTAAATATCAAGGAGTATGATTTTTGGATTTTATGGTAAGAGTATGTTTAGCTTTTTTAAGAAACTGCCAAACTGTCTTGCAAAGTGGCTGCACCATTTTGCATTCTCACCAGCAATGAATATGAGTTCTTATTGCTCCACATCCTCGTCAGCATTTGGTGTTGTCCGTGTTTTGGATTTTGACCATTCTAATAGGTGTTTTGTGGTATCCCATTGTTGTTTTATTTGCAGTTCCCTAATGACCTAGGATGTGAAACATCTTTTCACTTGCTTACTTGGCATCTGTGTGTCTTCTTTGGCAAGGTGTCTCTTTAGGTCTTTTCCCCATTTTTTTAAATCAGGTTGTTCATTTTCTTGTGGTTGAGTTTTAAGAGTTCTTCATATATTTTGGATAAAGTCCATTATCAGATATATCTCATGATGTTTTTCAACATTTTTCAAAATAAAATATTTAAATTGTATTGGTTAAAACAAGTCTCTTTGCATTCCTCCCAAATGTCTGGGGCCACTAGAATGACTGTTAAAATAAAGCTGATTTAGGAATATATTTAGACTGGCTTTAATGCGATATATTTGTGTGAATTAAAGTCATTTCTTTGTGCAGTTGTTTCTAGCCATCCCAATGTAGGAATGGGTTCTAGAACTGTTCCTCCTCTTACTATGCCTACTTACTGATGTTGTGATACTCAGGTGCAGAGTCAGAGAACATGTCACAATATGAATATGTTTTGTGTTGCCTGGCACCAGAGGTATGTGGGTTGTGGAAGAGAAACTCTGAACTGTAGAGAATCAGAATGCTCAGTCATCAAACCCACAAAACTGTAAGAGGATTCCTTTAGAATGACAACTCGTCAAAATAGAAGTTCCTTTCTAGCAGAAATTTGCTTGTAAGTACAGCTTTACCAGGTATACATACCCCATATTCCTTTTTTTATTGAATGGGAATCATGTAAAATAGAATTTATCCATTTCTGTGGGTCCTGGGCACACCCTGAAGCAGTATACCAATGGTGATTATTTCTGTACATGAAGTTGCGTATTTTATGTATTTCAAATATAAAAACCATTTAATCAACTGTGCTTAAGAAAATACTGAATTATTCTACTCTTCCTGTAGAATGTATTATTCCCAAATTACTGTGTAAAGAAGAAATGATTAAGAGTCTGTAGCCAGAAGTTGTAGGATAAAAAATATTTTAGTGGTGTGAGAGGTAGTTAATTAATACAAATATTATGATCACCTTCTGGATTTTGTGATATTTGTAGTATTTTCATGTTTAAAAAAGCAGAAACTTGTGATTCATATTGTGACATTTTCTCATTCTAAATAAGCATCTATGTTTTGTAGGTAAATTTATGTTTATAATTTTCTTTTTTTTCCTCTGAAAGAGCTTCCAAATTGTATAAGCTTCAGATCCCACAAAGCTGAATCTACCCCTTCTTGTTATTGTAATTATGCAATTTAATAAAATTTCATATCAGCCAATGAAAATGAGTGTGTAAAAGAAGAATTGCATTCATAAAAATGAAACTGCATGCTTTAGAACGCCCAATTGGATTTGAGTTGCTAAAAACACTTGCCATTGAATTAGGTGTGGATGAGAAAATTTAAGAGATGAGGAGGAAAATGATCTTGATGATTTGGAAGGATTCTTCCTTTAGACTGCTTTGCAGCAACTTTTGTTTCCTACCTCAAAAAAGCCAAAACCGCAGCCTGCAGGTGAAGCTGTGGATGTGTTTTATAAAAATGGCAAAGTAGAACCCGGATATTTGCTAACTGACTTCTCGACAGAGTGCTTCAGACAGCCTCTACCGATAGTTGAGAAATGGCAGCTGAGAGAAAACCTAATTGTCTTTTTTTTTTTTTTTTCTGGTCCACCTACTCCACTTTACAGATGGGAAAACTGAGGCCCAGAGAAGCAAAGTGTATTTCCTAGGGTCACACAGCCTAGGTCTCCAGACTGGATGTCCTTCTTTCTGCAGGTCTGGGTCAGTATCTGTAGCTGGGAGAGGCGGTGGGGGAAGGGAGAGGGCAGGCAGGAATTGGAGCCTTCCACATGCCTAACTTGTTAGGGCGTTCATGATGTCACAATTAGGAAGGAAATGGAGAGGGGAGGCCTCGGAAACCCCCCAAAGGCCCTCTGATTGCGCCCTGCGGAATCCCTCCAGGAATTACTCCCTGGTCCTCTCACAGTGGCTGTGGTCTCAGCCTGAGATAAAAGGCCAGAAGCAGGAAGGTAAATCTGATGGAGCTTCCTCCACCATCCCCACCCCTTCCCCAAATGTGCCCTCCTTCTCTTGGATATACAACACAGTTAAAAAAAAAAAAAAAAGAAAAAAAATCTGAGCCCAGTTGCCATGGCAACCACCTGTGGTCTGGGTTTCTGGAATCACTAGCCAGCGAAGAATCAGGAAAATACAGTATGATTCTACTGGAAGACCCGCCACAATCCTGCTGTGTGGTGTCCTTGTTCATGAACAGCCTTACCCATCGGTGAGGACAGACAGGCAAGGGTGGGGGCTATTGCACTCAGGACAGTGGAGGTCGGGGCTGGGTGAGGTATCCCAGGTGGAGAGAACAGGGATCCTCGGGTTGACTGAATGCTCTGCTGCTCCCCTGTGAAGCTGACAGGCCCAGGTTCAAAGATCAGAGGGCAGCTGGCAGTCACCTCCTTCCTTCCTCCCCTGGGCGTGAGGAGGCTGAACTGGTCTGCCTGGAAACCCACTGTTTCCTTTCTGGAGGCTCCGGCTGCAGCTACCTATAGGGATTGGCATTCCAGCTGTCTCCCATAAAACCTCCAGCTCTTTAAAATCCCCAGTTAAAGCCTAAGCTCCAATAAAAGTTGCCAGGCTGGGTTTGGGGCAAGGTATCCGCATCTTCTACACAGGCCGAGGATGCTGTAATGAGCCTGACTAGGAGGCACAGTCCTGGGCTGCTTCCCCTCATTGTCTGTAACTAAGCACACATGAAAGCGAGCTGTAGATTAGCCGAGACCCAGAGCATCTGAAAGACACACTCAAAGAGCCACATCAACCACTAAAGGAGTTGCCAAGAGGAGGCAGGGAGGGCGTCTTTAATGGTCCATTTGCAAGAGATGAAATTTCTAAGGCTTAGAAACTTGGATACAGCATGGCGAAGTTGCATTTTAAAGGTTTCAGGAGAAAAGAGAAAAAGTTAGAGGGTTAGAGGTGACTGTCTTCTGGCAGCTTCCCTGAAATGCATGCCAATTAGACAGAATTCCTTGCACGTCGTGAGTCCTCCAAAAAATATTTGTGAAATAAATAAGTGAATGGGATATGGTTTTTCCTATCACACACTTCTGGAGCCAGTGGCCTGATTTGTTATATAATATGTCCTGCAGAGGGCAAGGCCAGGCAGGCACCACAATGGAAAGGGGCAATTCAGAGCAGAGACTCCCTTTCTGTGCTTCCAAACTTCTATTTTGCAGACTGTCCTATAGAGCAAGTCTTAAAAACTCCAAGACCTACACGGGCAAGATGGGGGTGTGTGATGGTTAATATTGAGTGTCAACTTGATTGGACTGAAGGATGCAAAGTATTTTTCCTGGGTGTGTCTCTGAGGGTGTTGCCAAAGGAGATTAACATTTGAATTAGTGGACTGGGAAAGGCAGACCCACCCTCAATCTGGGTGGGCACCATCTAATCAGCTGCCAGTGTGGCCAGAATAAAAAGCAGGCAGAAGAATGTGGAAAGACTAGACTGGTTTAGTCTTCTGGCCTGCATCTTTCTCCCATGCTGGATGCTTCCTGCCCTCGAACATCAGACTCCGAGTTCTTCAGCTTTGGGACTCGGACTGGCTTCCTTGATCCTCAGCTTGCAGATGGCCTATTGTGGGACCTTACCTTGTGATCGTGTGAGTTAATACTCCTTAATAAACTCCTCTTTATATATACATCTGTCCTATTAGTTCTGTCCCTCTAGAGAACCCTAACATAGGGTGATACATGAATAAGGTAGGCAGCGATGGGGGTGGAGGGGGCTCTGGTGGTCTGGAGAGCCCGTATCCCATCCACCAAAGGGGACAGCCACTGCCCAGCTCCAGCCAGTTGTGGCTATACAAGGTTTTAGGTCCAGTCACCAGATCGTCCGGCTTTTCAAGAACCTCCAGAACTCCAAATTTTTTTAAGGTGATATCTCCTACTTTAAAAATTATAGCAATGAATTCAAATTGCTAAAAGCACCATGTGGCCAAACCACATTCTGTTGAAGAACACATCTGGACCATGGGATGCCAGTTAGTGAACTTGGATTTAATGTTTTGCTTCATCCACTCGTCACTATTTGTTGGGGGAGATGCTCAACCTGAGTCACGAAAGGTGAGCCGGATTTGGCCAAGTAGGCAAAGGCTCGACGAGACTAAGTAGGCAAACGCTGGACAAGACCGGCATTCCAGGCAGGGGAGCACAACAGGTGCAAAGGTGTGGAGAGATGCAAAAGCACCACGCCCACGGGGAAATAGAAGGTCACTGGGCATGGCTGACACCAAAGGGGCAGTTTGGATGGATCTTGGGGTGGGGACAGGTAGGCGATACGACATGAGCCATTGGAAGGGTGACAACTCTAGTTTTGATGGGCATAGGGTCGTTGCTTGTAAAGAAACCACTTTACACTGAGCTGTCAATCAAGTTGATTTGACTTACGACCACCGTGAAGATTTGGAGTCTATCTAAAACATGAAGCTGGACAGGGCTTCCTTAACACCTGGTTCTGGAGCCAGATGATCAAGGTTCAAATCCTGGCTCCCTAACTGTAGCCATGTGACCTAAACTACTTATCCTCTCTGTGCCTCAGTTTCCTTAGTAAAATGGAGATAATCACAGATTGGATTTGAGGATTGAGGGAGTTAACTCATCTAACAAACATGGGATGATGCTTGGTGCACGGTGAGCAATTGACAATTCCCCCTTCTTTCTATTATAACCTCTCTTTTCCTTCTTACCTAAAGGGGCCAGACACATTCCTTGCTGTCTGGCCCTGGCCTTGGCAAAACACGGTCTGTGAATCAGAGGTTTAAAAGCTCTTTTCCTGAGCTGAAGATTCTGATTTCGTGGCTGTGCACACAGGAAATAAAACCCCGTTCTTCTAAGTGGACTGGGAGAAGTATGAAATTACGACTAAGTTGGTTTGGAGCTTTTGTGTGGGTCTTTCACGAAGAGACAACCATTAATCATGCACAATTACCCTGACCTTGGGTGAACTACAGTCTCTTGAACACAGAAGATTTCACTCCCGGCGGGTGTGGAGATGCAAAGATGTCTGCTTACCATCAGAGCACAGAGAACCAGCGCCTAAATGGCCCAAGGTCCAGCACGCTTGTTTCTTAGCCTTAGAGACTCCCCTCTTTCCAAGATCTGCTTTCACACTCAAATGCCCTTTCCAAGGAAGCATGCATAGTTAGGGAAAATAAAAGGCTTTGGAGAATAGGATCAAATCTGTCTCTGCTATTTAATAGTTGTGTGTATGACTTTGGACAGGGGCTGTATCCTCTCTTGTCACCTCAGTGTTGCATGTTTAAATTGGGGTGAATAATGCCTATCTCATCAGTTCATTATGTGGACTAAGAGACATTAAAAGGGGTGCTGATGTGAACATCCCATTGTGCAGTGGAGCTCAAAGCCTCAGAGAATTGAAGGCACTTGTGCATGGTTGGACCCCAAGTTATCTGGGGTCTGACACATAGTGTTTGCCCAACAGATGATTGCCTCAGCCTAAGAACTGGCCTCCCTAGGTGGCCCCACCCCAGCCAGGAACTGGGGGAGAAGCCTTCAGACTCCATCATGATAGAGGATGAGATTTTGATGTATATAGGTTTCCTCCCTCCTCTCTCCCTCTCTCATATTCTTTCCTTCCCTCCCCTCCCTCCTCCCCTCCCCCTCCTCTTCCTCTTCCCCTCCCCCCTCCCCCCTCCCCCTTCCCTCCCTCCTCCCCTCCCCCTTTCCCTTCCCTTCCTTCCCCTCCCCTTTCTCCCCTTTCTTGCCTCCCTTTCTCACTTCTTCCCTTTCTCCTTCTTTCTCCCTCCTTTCCTTCTTCCTCCATCTCTTCCTTTCTCTTTCCTTTCCACTCTTCTTTCCATTCTTAAACTCTTAATGAGCACGTGGGACAAGCCAGGCATTGGGCCTAAACACAGGATAATGTAGGACTGTATCTTCCTTCATGTCTCGCCACAGGATGACATACGCAGCAGGCATTTAATATGTTGCCTGTCTTTTGTGCTGTGGAAATGATCATTAAACTGATTAATCCATCAAAACTCTTTCATGTTTCAACTTTCATTTTTTAAAAAACAAGACCAAACCAAGCATTTCCCCTCAGCTAAAATATTTTACACGTGGCCACAGTAGAAAATTGGTCCCTGCAGAAAAGTACTGAGAAGAATATAATAATTATTAATACTACTGCCACTAAATTTAACCACTGTCCACATGATGCTGAATTTCCTTCCAGTCTCTTTCTTCTGCAAGACGTATATTTATTTTGTGTAAGTAAACTCATTCTGAGTGTATATATTTGTGCATTCTGCTTTCATAACAAGTGTATTTTTCTATTAAGCAAGTGCAGTGTCTCCATTAGTCATTTATTTCTTCATTCACTCAATCAGCATATACTTTTGGAGCACCCACTGTGTAATCGTCCTAGATGCTGGGGACACAGAAGTGAATGGCATGAACCCAAATACCTGCCTTCTCAGATCTTACTTTCTAGTTCAGAGAAATAGTACACAAAACAAATGCAAAAAATATATAGGTGTGAGATGGTAATACTAGATGTGATGAAGAAAAATAAAGCAGGAAAGGAGGAAAGAGTTCCTGTGTGTGTGTGTGTGTGTGTGTGTGTGTGTGTGTGTGTGTGTATGTGTTTAAATTGTAAACAGGGTAGCTGGAGAAGGCCTTAATGAGAAACTGGCACCTGGGCCTAGAACTGAAGGAGGTGAGGGAGTCAGCAAAAAGAACATCCAGGCAGAGGGAACCACTGTGCAAAGGCCCCGGGGTGAGTGTGTGCGGGTGCATTTGAGGCACCTCATGGAGGCCACAGTGGCTAGAAGGGAGTGGCCGGGGATGGGGAGAGTGGTAGGAGTTGGTGTGAGAAAGATAGCAGGGAGCAGATTTCTGAGGGCTTGTACGACCCTGTGAGCTAGGGTGAGGACTGTGACTTTCATTAAAAGTACGATGAGAAGCTGTCAGAAAGTTTTGAAAGCATAAGCATCATGTGAATTGATCTGTGATTTTAAAACTGATCTCTAGCTGTTGTGTTTATCATAGGCTGTGATGATTAATATTAGGTGTCAACTTGATTGGATTGAAGGATGCCTAGATAGCTGGTAAAAGTATTGTTTCTGGGTGTGTCTGTAAGGGTGCTGCCAGAGGAAATTGACATTCGAGTCAGTGGAGTTGGCGAGGAATACCCATCCTCAGTGTGGGTGAGCACCATCCAATCGGCTGTGAGTACAGCTGGAACAAAGCAGGCAAAAGAAGGTGGGATGACCTTGCTTGCTAAGTGTTCTGGCTTTCATCTTTCTCCCAAGCTGGATGCTTCCTTCCGCTCTTCCTGCCCTTGGACATCAGACTCCAGGTTCTTCAGCCTTTGGACTCTTGGATTTATATCAGTGATTTGCCAGGGGGCTCTTGGGCCTTGGGCCACAGACTGAAGTCTGCACTGTTGGCTTTTCTATTTTTGAGGCTTTTGGACTCAGACTGAGCTACTACTGGCTTATTTCTTCCCCAGTTTACAGAGAGTCTATCATGGGACTTCGCCTTGTGATGGTGTGGGTTAATTCTCCCTAATAAACTCTGTCTCATATATACATAGATCCTATTAGTTATGTCCTTCTGGAGAACCCTGACTAATACATAGGCTGTAGGAGACATAGATAGAAGCCAGGAGTTCAGATGGAAATAAGCCAGATGAAAGGTGACAATCACCAATTCTTAGTATGACCTTCAGTGTTAATGAAGGCATGATATTCTGCCATGTGGCTGTGTTATAATTTACCTAGTCGTTTTTCTAGAATTGGACGTGTGATTATTTCCAATTTGTATTCCTGTCCCACCCTTACTTATGAACCCACCTGAATAATTTTTTTCAATTCCATTCCCAACTGAAATATCATATTCTCTCTGACCCTATTAGGAAAGATTGTGTGAATTGAACAGTGCTTAGAAACAGGGCAGAGGCCTTTCTTCCTGGTGGTGTGGATAGGCTGTTTCCTGGAGAAATTAGGCTACACTGACAGTCATCTCGTTGTGTCTCCCTTTTGCAGATTTGGGGATCTGTAGGGATGCTGTTGGTGCCTTACCTGATCCCCTGGGATCCTCTTTGGCAACTGAGTCTGCATCACCCAGCTGTTGTGTAGGGTGCTGCTAACTGCTCATACCTCCAACCCTTCTTCAGAGAATTGCTTTGGAGTGACTGGAGCCACTTTGCCTGCAGGAAACTGAGAGTTTTACATTCCCTTCCATGGCAGCCCATAGTCAGTGACTGGCATATGCTGGGGTACAAAAGTCAAGTCTCCTCATCTCAAGGTGTGCAGTGCCATTAACACCCCAGGGCTCCTGGTCAGATCAGGATGAGGCTAGATTTTACCTGAAACCACATCATTGCCTGACTTCTTCCACTTTTCTATCTTGTTTCTTCCATACCAATATAGGTTTCTCTTAAGGGCACTCAATAAATCACTGGCACCTAATCCTTGTCCCAGGCTCTGCTTCTAGGGCATCTGGCCTAACCTAAGACAAGGCTATTTGTCCTATGTATAATCAGTCAACACAGATACAGACACACTACCTATTGTTTTCTTTATTCTATTTACTTGCCTTGATGCCAATGTGCTCTGTTATGTCATTGATTCATGCATTGATTTTCAATTTAAACAGCACCCAAAAGTATAATGATACCCTTCCTAAATGCATAGTGTGTTTTTCAGCATCAGAAAATGTGGGTTTGAGTCCTGGCTTCCCTATTTTGCTAACTCTACACCCTGGGCAGTTCCATGGCCTCTTTGAGCCTCCGTTTTCTCAGCTGTGAAATGGAAGCAATAGTAATGTTATCTCAAGTCAGGCACATGAAAAGCACTTTGCTTCTGAGAACAGTTATGATTCACCATAAATATGGCAGTTAAAGATGATAATTGGGAAGTATTGATCTGAATTTTCATCAGATTTCTGAGATATGGTTTTACATGGATGCTTGGCCCTTTTAATTTCATACATGAAAAATCTCTCTCCAATTCATAAATTTCACCAAAAATTTGGGCTCAGGGCCACCTTTATTCAAGGGTTTCAGGTACAACATTACCACCAGGTGGTAGTGTGGTTATATGTCCTGAGCAAAGCAATTTGTCCCCCATCTTCCAAAACTACTACAAAGGTTTTGTGATATATTCCATTCTATATACTCCTACCCTCTGTAAAAGCACAATAAAGTCATGCAGAATTCTCCAATGCAAGTTGTACACTTGCCAAGATATTTTTAAAAATTCATTTGCAGGCTGACTAAGCAAAACTGTTTGAACAACTGCAACTAGGCTCTCTTGGAGCAAAACCAATAAAAATATCAACCAGGTGGTAAATTATGGAATGTATAGATTGGGAGGAAGTTTCCCTAGATGAGTTTTGAAGAAGGTTTATCATAGGAAGTGGATGAAACCCAGGATGTTGTTTCCATACAAAGGCTGGCATGTGCCACTTGTCATACTTAAAATTCCATTCCATGCAGAATTTGGCCTACAGTAGGTGCTCAACAAATGTTAAAGAATCAATCAGTTCATCAATCAATCAGCCCACACATGCATGAATAAATGATTAAGGACTGTAATGGCAGAATGTATTTTATCTGTAGGATAAGCATTAAGAAACTCATCTGATGTAGACATGTGCTTTAGTTTTTGGGGAGAATGAACTCGATTGAACAAGCAATGTAAATAGGGTTGAGGTGTCAATTATCTGTGAACTTCCTTTTTAAGCTGAGAACTTGAAGAAGGAAACTGTTTGGAAAACTCTGCTGTAGCTGTTAGGAACTTCCTGGGCCCTGAACAAAATCAGTCTTGACTCCACAGTGTGAAAGAAGGGAGGAAATCTTAAAGCTCTGATTTTCTTTCCCCCAAGATACCAATTTCCCTTGGCCAGTCCTCATTCTCCATTCAATGATCTAACCTAGGCAGACTTGCAGCCCTCCTTCTAATTCCCTGTAGCAAATCTGAGACCAGGACAGGATGTCAAATAGCATCTCCCTAAAGGCTCTGGGATGGCACAAGGGAAATAAACTGAGAGGACATTGAGAAGAAATAGATGATTTGTCCCACTAGCTAAGTTACATTCCTCTTTGGCTTGAAGTGTCTTTAGGGTGTCTTTCTGCCTATTTCCTGGCTATTGATGAAGCAGAAGCCAACGTTTTCCAACAAGCTGGAGGTATTCCTGATGACATCTAGGCTGCTTGAAGTTGAGATTCGGGGGAACTGGGCCTAAGGAAAGGAAGGACTTTTCCCTCTTGTGTTTGTGTTAGCTAAAAATGCAAATGACTGCAAATCATGGAAAACCTAATGACAGAGGCTTAAATCACCCACATATCAGAAGTCCTTGTGAGTATGCAGTAGATTGTTGGCATTGGCTCAGTAAGCCAATAGTATTCTTTTGAGAGCTCCTGGGATTCTCTTGGGCTCTCCCTCATGGCCACAAGATGGTTACTTCCTGCATTGCCAGAGGGGAAAGAAGAAAAGGGAAAATGGGAAGGTCCAGGTTAAGGCTGTCTCTTTTTATCAAATTATATATAATGTTTCCAAAATTCTCCCTTGCCGGCTTTCATTTCTGTTTCCTGAACAGGACTAGTCCCATAGCTGCAAGGGAGGCTGACCGTGTTTCGCTTTCTAGCCTCTACAGCGGATGGTAGCCAGGGAGAAGGGAGGAGGAATAACTCTTGGGTCTCTAGTCAGTAGTGTTGGCCCAGTTTCTACAGCCTGCTTTCCAAGTTCCTATTTCTTACCTGGGTACCTGCATCTTACCTGATAATTCACATCTTGAATGCCCACATATATGAGAAGACGCCACTCACTTTCTGCCACAAGAAGCACCATAACAATCAGACCCAGATCTGTCCATGCGAGAGATACCCAAAGACAACAGCTAACATCTGCTGAAGACTTACTTGCCAGGCACTGTGCTAGGTATATCACATTGAACTTTTTAAAACCCTAAAAATAACTTTGAAATCACTCCATTTTACAGACGAAGAAACCAAGGCCCAGTTTTGTCGAGGGACTTGTCTGACTAAAAAGAGACATATTTTGGATTTGAACTAAGGCAGTGTCATGGTCTTAGCCATGATCTTAGCTGCTATAGGCATGTACTCAGCTGAGTTCATTCAAGGCTGGCTTCTCTGCTATCGCAGCAACCAGTGACCATTTTCCTTCTTAGTCACAGACATGCCTGGGGTCCCTGCACCCACCCTGCTTTCAGGATCTGTTGATGCTATTCTTCTAGGCCGGCAGTAAAATGACATTTATGAGGATTTTTCCCTTTGAAGTGGGAGTGTTTGCGCATTTCACTTTAAAGCAAGGGAAAAAACAAGAGCTCAAGCAGATAAATAACTGCAGCCTTGGAGAAAGAGCGTGACGCCTACGGATGCAGTCTCTACTCATGTCAGGTCATCTTAGACGGAAAGATCTTTATTCGTCTCTCTCAGCTGACACTTTTTATGAACTGCTTGCCCCCACTTCCATCTCCTGTACTTATAAACAAACTGCCGACTTTTGATTCTTTTTTAGTTCTTCTCCTCTGTAAATGTTTCTTTCTTTTGCCCTGTATGTTTCTTTGGGGTGAAGGGACATGTTTCCCATTTCTCAGGTTACAGTATTTGCCCCGAAGATTTGGAGTGAGATAGAATTTTGGAATATTGGTGTTGCCACTTACTAGTTGTTTGACATTGCGGCGGGGGGCCGGGGAGGGGAGGGTGGAAACTTCTCTGAATCTCAGTTTCCTCCTCTATAAATTGGGCATGATAATATCTGCCTTCAGGATTGTTGGGGGAGTCACTCTAGAATGGTAAATTTCCTGAGGAAAGGAATATGCTATTTCTACCTTTTCTAGACTAACTGCAGAATCTCATTGGCCCTCCCTCAAATTTTGATATGTTCACTTATGTGTTATACATTACAATATGCTATCGTATCCTAGTCATCCATTCTCCATCCAGCACTCATTCATCCATCCATCCATCATCCATCCATCCATTATCCATCCACCTGTCCATCCATCCATCCATCCATCCATATCTATGCATCTATAGGTGATGTGTCTTTAGAATATACCACTAACTTCTTCCACTGCTATCACCTGGGAAACTCATGCCATTTCCCCCCTGGATTATTCCGGCAGCCTCCTAACTAGCCTTTCTGCCCTCACCTGTGTTGCCCTAAAGTTCTATTTTCAACACAGAGGCCAGATTTATTTTGTTAAAATATAAAATTGTGTCACTTTTTGCTCCAAATCCCCCAATGATTCCCATCTCACTCACTGTAAAAGCCTAGTTTTTATTATGGCCTGCCATCATCTCTGACCCCATCTCATACTTCTGTCTCTCTCTGTTCCAGCCACATGGGCACCCTTGTTGCCCCTTGAATCCTCCAGGCATGGTCCTGCCTTGGGGACTTTGCACCTGCTGTTCTTTCTGTCTGGAATGCTCTTTCATCAGATATTCTTGTAGAGTCCTTACTCCCTCAGGGCTTTGCACAAATATCCTCTTCTCAGTGAGATCTTCTCTGATGGTCCCATTTGATATTCCCACCCCTTTTCTACCCCCACAACTCATAAGCCTCTTCTTTTTCCTCTGTGTTTCCTCTTTAGCATTTATTACCATTTAACATACTACATACTGTATTTATTGTCTCTCTCTTCCACCATGATATAAACTTTGTGATGGCAGAGACATTTGTCTGGTTCTTTGCTACATTCCTTTACTTACATTCCTATTACCTAGAAAATGCTTGGCATAAAGTAGGTCCTCAGAAAATGTGTTGAATAAGTGTGTGTGTGTGTGTGTGTGTGTGTGTGTGTGAAACACCCACCATCATGTAATATTGGAAGAAAGAACCTTACCCAAAAGAAGGTTTATAACATATATAAAAAGTCTTTACAGTATGTGTCCACTTAGAGACAGCAATATTACTTTCCCAAATGTTTTCTAAGAAAATCTTCATGGATGTGTCTAAGAGCCAATTTAGCTCTAAAGATGTTCATTCATGCATTATTTATGATTAAAAAATGAAAACAACTAAAATGTCTGAATAGGGGAATAATTAAATTAAAGGGTTCTATATGCAGGCATTTGTGAAATGCTGTAGTGCTAATTGACATAGAGTGTCCATGTCAGGTTAGAAAGCACATGAATGCATGAAAAGATACTGCTGTAGTTTGAATGTCTTCTCCAAAACTCATGCTGAAGTGTAATTGCCAAGGTAATGGTTTGGGAGGTAGGGACTTTAAGAGACGATTAGGTCATAAGGACTCCACCCGAATGAGTTAATACTGTTATCAATGGAGTGCGTTAGTTATCGAGTGAGTGGGCTCCTGGCAAAATAATAATCTGGTCCCCATTTTCTCTCTCTCTGTCAAGCACACAATCCCTTACCATGTGATGTCCTCTACCATGTTATGATGCAGCAAGAAGTCCCCACTGGATGTGTCCCTTGATTTGGGATTTTCCAGCCTCCAGAACTTTGACTCAAATAAACATCTCTTGTTTATAAGTTACCCAATCTCGGGTACCTAGAAGACAAGACAACAAAATATTAGCAGTACTCTCTCGGGGAACAAGTGTAATTTTAATCTATCTGTGTTGTCTTGTATGTCTTCTTTTTCTTTTTTTTTTTTGAGACGGAGTCTTGCTCTGTCACCCAGGCTGGAGTACAGTGGCGCGATCTCGGCTCACTGCAAGCTCTACCTCCTGGGTTCACGCCATTCTTCTGTCTCAGCCTCCCAAGTAGTTGGGACTACAGGTGCCCACCACCATGCCTGGCTAATTTTTTTGTATTTTTTTTTTTTTTTTAGTAGAGATGGGTTTTCACTGTGTTAGCCAGGATGGTCTCGATCTCCTGACCTTGTGATCTGCCTGCCTCGGCCTCCCAAAGTGCTGGCATTACAGGCATGAGCCACCACGCCCAGCTGTCTTGTACATTTTCAATAATAAACTCTAAGAGGTTTTCTAACTTAAAAAATAAAGTTTTTTGAAAGAAAGTTGAATAGCATCATTTCAAAAAGTGATCTCAGGTGAATTAGGGCCAAACTAGCTCTATCAAGCTTAGAAATCTGATTGTAATAAACAGTGAAGGCCAAAGGATTTGCATTGTACAAGCTTCCCACCCTACCTATTAATGCCATGTTTATTCTTCCTGCTTGTTGATATCTGTATCTCCAGAGGCTTAAATGAAGTTGATAGTCAAAGTAATTTATGTAGTTTGCTCAGTCAGACACATCAACTCTGGGGAGAAAGAAAAGACACATTATGCTTGTCTGATTGTAAATAACTCAGGTTGGGGGTTTCCATGGATATAGTTTATCCCATGGCCATTCCTATCTTCTTCCTTAGGCCACTGCAGGCTTCAAGGAGACCCTGAGGTAGTAAATGGTGGCTAAAACCAATACTGCTGTTTACCCTTTTAAGTATTTTGAGTTCCTAACAGCTTCCCTTAGAGAGTTCCTAACTCCTTAGAGAGGAGATAGGGGTGGTGTGGAGTAAAGGTCAACAAACTTTTTCTGTGAAGGACCAGATAGTAAATATTTTAGGCTTTGCAGGTCATAAGATCTTTGTCACAACTACTTAGCTTTGTGATTGTAGTGTGAAGGCAGCCATAGATGATACGTAAGTAAATGGACATGGCTGAGTGCCAATCAAATTTTATCTATGGACACCCAAATTTGAATTTCCTATAATTTTTACATATCACCAAATACTCTTCTTCTTTTGAACTCCTCCCACCATTTAAAAATGTAAAACCAATCTTAGATTGTGGACATATGAAAGTAAGTGGTGGACTGGACTTGGCCTCTCAGGCTGGAGTTTACTGACCTCTGGTGTAAGAAATGGAATGGAGATTTATACTACTGAACTTACTATTATTTTTAATGATGTGGAAATAGTGCTTTTTTTAGTTAAAATAAATGAGTATATACTTTTATAACACAGGGTACCAGATGTCATGAAAATGTATATTTTTCTGATGCACAATATGTAATTTTTAAACTGGCTCAGATATTGTGTCAGATCAATTGATAACTGCAATATATAAAACATATGAAACTAATTCCAGGAAATACCTTATATTTATGTCCTTGGGTCTGAATTTCTGAGCTCTCTGTGTTTAGGGATGGAATTTGGTTTATTCAAAGAGTAGCAGGTTATATATCTTGATGGTTACATTAGCTCAATATTTTGTTTCCTTTCTGGAGCAGGTAAGCCTTACAGACTGTTTTAGTTTGCAGCAATTAAATTTGCTTATCGCTGTGAAACAGAATTTCATTTGAAGCCAGTTATTAATGTCTAAAATGCACTTCCAGGAAATAATTTTGAACGTTTTATTTATTAAAAAGAACTCAATGTTTGTTCAAAGGCATTGATGTAATTTACAAAGTTCGATATTAGATATTTTATGAGGCAATATAAAAATGCCATTTTGCAAGGCCCCATTTTTTTAATTGTACTGTGGCACATTCAATGTCAGTATAAGGTGCTATTTTGTATTCTGCTTTTATGGCACTACTTAGTAAGTTTATTAAGAGAATTAGCAAACAAAAAACCTTCCACTCTTCCCAGCCCTGGATTCTTCTCATTTGCTGGTTTATTTTTAATGAAACATCTTCAAAAGGTACATAAAAGAAGCCTCTTTACTTATACAGCTTTAGTGCCTCACCTTTATGGAAAAAGAAGAAATTTGGGAATTTGATTTCATCTGGAAAATCTGGGACACATGATACTGTATCAGATCTTGCTATACCTCACCAATATTCTCTTTGCACTTGTCAAGTACATGCCTATGGTGCCAATGCAAACACCTGAGACTCTCCATCTGAGGGCTTTCTCTTGGACTCAGTGAAGGGCAGGGTAGAAATGCTGGGGAATCAACACCCCAGGAGCAGTCCTTTATCAACAGTGGATGGGTGTTAGAGAATAAATACTTGTCTTCTTCCCCACTCAGGGAACGTAACTTTAAAGCATGTTCTATGCAGCCTTTCAGAGTTCTCCAAAGGATTCAGTTTCCAGTTGGCCACTGTGGGAACCTGCTCCACAATGCAGTGTATCGGTTATCTACTTTTGCATAACATGTCATCCCAAAACTTAGTGACTTAAAGCAACAAATACCTACTATTTTACAGTGGGGTAGGGTTTCAGATAAGGAGTAGTTGGGTGGATCTGGCAGGTTCTCTCATGAAGTTGCAGTCAAGATGTCGGCCAGGACTGTGATCTCATCTGAAGGCTTGACTGAGGCTGAAGCATCTGTTTCCAAGCTTACTCCCATGGCTGTTGGCAGGAGACCTCAGTTGCTCACTACATGGGCCTCTCCACAGGGCTGTTTGAGTGTCTTCTGACATGGTTTCTGGTTTCCTAGAATATGACAATGGCTGTCTACAGAAACTAACGATTTGTTCTTCTTCTCACTCTGGGACAATTTTGTCCTCTCTATTACTCAGGATAGACTAGTTGCTAAAACCACCACCACAACAAAAATCTTCAAAATGTCCATGGCTTAACTCAAAACAAGTTTGTTGCTTGCTTGGTGGCAGAGCAGGGGTGGGGAAGACCCTGCTCCATGCAGTCTTTCAGGGTCCCAGGTGCCTTCCATACTGGGCTCTGCTTCCTTTTATTCTTTAGCATCTTCTCAATCCAGATGGCAAATGGGGATTGTGAAAAGAGCATGGAGCTCCTGAGAAAGACGCTGTTGTTAGGGCAGCTGGGCTTGGAAGTGGCACACCTCAAGGCTGCCCAAGTTCATTGCCCAGAATTCACACTCATGGTCTCCCCTAACTTCAAAGGAGGCTGGGAAATGTGATCTTGTTGGGTGCCAAGGGGAAGGAAGCTAAGTAGGTTTTTGGGGAGCAGCCAGCTAGGCTCTCCTACATCTTCTAACAACCCCCAAAGAAATGGCAATAACTCAAACTAACCCCCTTTATTGAGCTCCTTGACACAGGTCAAGCCCTTTTCCATGTTCTGCCTTTTTTCTCAGTCTGATGACACTTTGAAGCAATAGGAGAAGCAAATGCATATGGCACTGACTGTAGTAACTTAACCCCTACAGCAACCCTGTTAGGGCTATTTGCCTTTTATATTATTTGCATTGTAGAGATGAGGTTTTTATTTGCATATTATTATTTGCATTTTAGAGATGAGGAAACTAAGACACAGAGAAGTTTGGTCAATTGCTCAAATCACACAGCTCAACAGTGACAGGTGGGATTTGAACTCAAATCCTGTGTCCTTTCTAAGCCACAGCTGGAGTGTGACTCCCAGGACTGGACCAGCCTTGTTTTGATCCTCCTTGGGAGGAATGAACGCAACTGTGCTGTCTAGTGTGATAAAAATCTCTGCAGCCGTTGGAGCTCAAGGAGGCTCTTCCCAGATTACCCCCCTTCCCTTTCCTAATGAGCCGGGAGATGCCGGCAGGACGGCGGCAGCCAATGGACAATTAGCGGAGAGGGCTGTCCCAAACGGGCTGGGCCCAGCATCAGGGCCCTAAGTGTCTGCTTATTAAATCACAGCTTGGCCTGGAGCCCGCGGCTCTGCCCCCTCCTCCTCCTCGCCGGGACGCCACACACAGCCCTTCTGGAGGCAGCCCCCTGGGATAAAGCTCAGCCCACAGGATCCGGGGAAAACACAACTAGAGAAAGGCAGGAAGACATTCCGGCCCAGCACAAAGGCCCAGGCGTCAGAGGAGATGGGTGGGCACATTCCTCTGCACAACAGCAGAGGGGATCACCACGCACCTCCTGCGTTGGGTGTGAGGTCAAGCCTCTCACCTCTTTGAGCCTCAGTTTCCTCCTCTGTACAATGGGGATTTTCCAGTGTCTGACTCACCAGGATTACATGAAGTGATGCTCATAAAGGCTTAGCACCTGGCTTGGAGCAGAGTAGGGATCTGAACAATGCTCTCAGCTACTTAACAAAATGCAGATTCATTGAACCAAACCCACACCTGGAGGCTGGAGCTAAGGAATCTGCATTGTGTATGTTCTACACCAGGGCCGGAAGCACAGTATAGGTGGATAAATAACGCTTTGAACAGAAGTCAGCAAACTTTTTCCTCTAAAGGTCCAGAGAGTCAATATTTTCAGCTTTGCTGGCCACACTGTCCCAACTTCTCAACTCTGCTGATTCAATACGAAAGCAGCCACAGACAACGTGCATTGAATGGGCCAGGCTGTGTTCCAATAAAACTTTATTTGTGGACACTGAATTTTAAATTTCATATCATTTTCACATGCCATAAAATAGTTTTCTTTTTTGATTTGTTTCTCAAGCCTTTAAAATATTCAAACTATTTGTAGCTCATAGGTTATATAAAAATAGGCAGCGTGTCAAATTTGGCCCAAGGGCTGCAGTTTACAAACCCCTGTTCTAGAACAGTGCTGTTGCTTAGAAATATAATGTGAACCTCCTGCACAATTTTTAATTTTCTAGTAGCCATATTTAAAAGCAAAGTTTAAAAAAAAAAACTAAAATGTGCTTTAATAATATAATCAATTTAACCCAGTATATACGAAGTATTAATTTTTTACTTATTTTTATTTTTTGAGACAGGGTCTCACTCTGTTGCCCAGGCTGGAGTGCAGTGGTGTGACTCCAGCTCACTGCAGCCTCAACCTCCCAGGCTCAAGCAATCCTCTTGCCTCAGCCTCCCAAGTAGCTGAGACTACAGGCACCTGCCTCTATGCCTGGCTGATTTTTTATTTTTTGTAGAGATGGGGTCTTACTATGTTGCCCTAGCTGGTCTCAAACTCCTGGGCTCAAGCAATCCTCCTGCCTTAGCCTCCCAAAGTGCTGAGATTACAGGCCACTTATTATCATATGTGCACCCAGACTACCATATAATCAATATAAAAGTATTAATGGGATATCCTACATTCTCTCTCTGTGTGTGTGTGTGTGTGTGTGTGTGTGTGTGTGTGTGTGTGTACCAAGTCTTTGAAATCTGGTATGTTTTACACTTACAGGGCATCTCAGTTCAGTCCAACTCATTTCAAGCACTCTATAGCCACCTAAGCTGGTGATTCCACTAGTGGATAACACAGCTCTAGATGACGTGTTTTTTGTCTGATGCCATGCCAGACTGTAGTGGCTTGGCCATCCTCCCATTCACAGAATGGAGAAACTGAGGCCCAGAGAGGAAAAGCAGCTTGTCTGAGGTCACACAGCAATGCGAGCTGCACAAAGTGCTTACTGTGATTTCTCAGAGGCCAGGGTCTCTACCTCTCTTATGCCCAAATCCTGTTGCCACCAAAACTGCAACCCTGTTAATCCTGAAGTCTGATGACCACCATCTTTCCAGCACACCCTCTCTGAAATGCCACCTCCCACAATTCCTGACCTCACAGGGGATTCTAGTGTCTTGGTTTCTTCCTATCTTTCACTTCTTCTCTTTCCACCTCAACCCACCATTTCTAAGACCCAGAAGTTGGAGTCTCCTTGCTTATACTTTTGCTGTGCTTGCCCTCCCTTCCTCCCTTAGAGTGCCTGGAGAAAACCTAACCCATCTGACCTTCCTCACTCCTCTGTCCTTTTCTGGGGCTGCAAATTGCTGGGGGACCACCATGATGGTGAGTTCGCTGCACCGACCTGCTAGGCTATAGCACCCAGATATTCAACAGCACATGTATGTAGTTGTTGCTATGATATGTGGTGAGCATTGACAATCAGCTGACTTGAAGTAAAGGAGACTCCTCAGTAATCTGGGTGGACCTCATCCAATCAGTTGAAGGCTATAAGAGCGAGAACAGGTTTCTGGAGTAGAAGAAGAAATTCTGCTTCAAGACCGGGGCATCAGCTCCTGCCTGAGTCCCAGCCTGCCCTGTGGACTTTGGACTTTGCCAGCCACCACAATTGGTGAATCAAATCCTTAAAATAAATCTCCTCTTGATTCTGTTTCTCTGGAGAACCCTGAGTGACACCACAGCCCTCTACTGTGCTGATTCTCTTACTTTGAATTCCTGCCCAATCCCCTCTAGAGAGCTGTTGCTGCCACTCAGAAATGCCATTGCTTTCTCACTGTCTCTCGTCCGTCTTCAGCCTCTGTATCCCTTCCTCATCCTGCCCTGACCACCTGTAACAAAGAAACACCCAAACTCCATCAAAGTCAGGACCCCCTTAACCCTATTTTGTTTTGGCGCCCCACCATGCCTCAATGAACATCCTAGATATTGACTTACTTATTTTGTTTGATGTCTGTTTCTGTAAGCTCCAAGAGGGTGGGGACTTAGCTTAGTTCCAAACCTAGAATAGTGCTGGCGCATAGTAGGGACTCAACAAATGACAGTTGAAAGAACTGCTGAAGGCATGAGCTCATTAAGTTACTTATTTTATTTTTCTTCTGAAGTGGGCACTAGTATTAAACCCCATTTTACAGATGAGGCAACTGAGACTCAGATTTAAGTCACATGTCAATATCTGCAGGGCGAGGAGGTAGCAGAGCCAGATGTGAGCTCAGGCCTGTCTCTCTGTCTGACTGGCTGAATGCTGCTGTTGACTGTCAGGTGCCAACTTGGCAAGCCTGCTGTGAAGGAACGGTGGGAAACAGTTGCCCAGTCAGCAAGGATGAAGCTGCTGAACTGAGAGCTGGGGCTGCAGGCAGATGCTGCAGCTCACGATTGTGCAACCTTGGCCAAAAACTTGCTTTGCTAAGCCTTGGTTTCCCCATCTGCATCATGGCAATCATCACACATACTTTGCAAATTTCTACTTTTACTGAATCTGCTAAAACCAGCCACATTCCTCATAACCACGGTCAGGACTCATCTTCTCTCCAGGCTTCCTTTTCTGCTTCCCCATGAGCCCCAGCCTGGCCTCCTTGGGATCATAGACACCCTCACTCTGGTTCCTACTTAAGGCCCCCTCCCTCCAGCGAACACGCCCAGACGGGGAGTGACTTTCCGTATTCCCTGGGGTTAGTTCCTCCATCATCTGCCACCTCCTGGATATCAAGTCCTGGAGCCTCTCAAATCTTTCATCCTGGCAGCCCACTCACCCTGCAGGCCAGGCCCTACCTGCTGCTTGCCGTGCTGCATAACGGTGTGATCTGGGTCTGCCTCATACCGGCCAGCTTTGTGACCACACACAGCCATTTCCTCTCTTGGAGTCTCGGTTTGCACATCTGTAAAGTGTGGACACACTGCTGAGCTCATGGGGTTTATGTGAGCACTGAAAAGAGATGCAAAAGTGTGGACCAAGCATCATCATGGCACATAGTAAAGACTTGTGCCCAGACTTGTGTGCTTCCTGTTTAAGTCTTAGAATCAGGTAGACCTGGGTTCGAACTCCAGCTCTGCCTTCCACTAGCCCTGTGGTCTTGGGCAGGCAACATAATCTCTCTGACCTTGTTTTCCCTTATGTCAAGTGTGGGTAAAAATGCTGCTTCTCTTATTAGGTGTCACGAGGATTATTTGAAAGTGTTCATGGCAGTGGGTGCCATAGGGCTCACAGTAGCCTTGGTTCTCCTCTTTTCCCAGGTACACATATAGACTACATTTCCCAGCCTCGCTTGCAGTTAAGTGAGGGTCGTGTGATGGAGTTCTGGCCAATGGAAGGTGGGCCTGCCTCTTAACAAACTCCTACATAATTCTCCATGCCCTTGCTTCCCTCCCCTATCAGCTAGATGCAAATATCCAGGGATATAATGACCTAGAGCCCTGATTCTCAAAATGTGGCCCCCTGGATCAGCAGCATCTCCCAGGTACATGTCAGAAATGCAAATTCTATGTTCCAGCCCAAGAACTACTGAATCAGAAACTCTAGGGGTGAGTGGGGCCCTGCAATCTGTGCTTTAACCAGCCCTCCGGGGGTTTTCGATGCATGCCCAAGTCTGAGAACTGCTGCCCTGGAGGATGGCAAAGACTCGAGTGAGAAGGAGCCTGGGTCCCTGAGGAAGTAGAGCACATCCTTGCTGCCCCATAGATAAGCTACTGAGTTGGGGGATTGCTTGTTATAGCAGCTAGTATTTAAAGTAATTGGCACAGACTAGGTACTGAAAAGTTGGAGTCTATTATTACAGGTTTAGCATGAGAGATTTGGAGATCATTAAGGAGCTAGAGTGCAATGGCAAGGATGGGACAGGACGCCATGTGCTGGGGGAGCACTTGCAGCACTTGCATTGAGTAATAAACTCCTGTCTGCATTGCAGCTGCTGGGGGTAGGTGGTGGAGGGATATTGCCCACAGTGAATGACCTCCCCAGGCAAGGTGGCAGGAAGCCGGAGACAGGCATCAGCTCAGCATCCTCCAATTAGCTGCCATCCCTGACCCCATCAAGGCTGGAGGAAGTGCTGGCGCTTACCAGCACTCAGGCCCACCTGCCTGGAGGGCTGGCAGACTCAGCAGTTGGGGTGGCGGCACCTGGAGGTCTTGGCCTAACAGAGCCTCACTTATTCCAGAGATCTGTAAAGGGTTAGTGGGTGGGGGGCTGGCAGGCGGGGAGGAAGTGGCAGGGAGCAATCACATGAGGTCAGGCTGACCTCTCAGCCCAGCCCCGGGGGCAGACATGCCACGTGTGGCCAGGCCAGACCTTATTTTCTTGGAGTTCTGGGGAAGGGACTCTCCAACAGTTGGAAAATTTCCACTTACCAGGAGCTGTCTGTGTAGTTGTGGGGAAGAATGTCAATCACTGTGGTTGGAAGGGTTAGAGAGCATTTGCAGTCCACTACAATGCAAGGCCACCTGAACACCTGGGACCACCCATGTGGTCCTCCCCACTCCTGATTAGCATCATGGAACACATTTATTGATTGCACACTGACACCTGGAATGGTCCGCTAAGCATTCCGTAGACATCATCTCATTTATGACCCAGGATATCACTCCCCGCCTTTTACAGATGGGGAAATGGAGGCACGGTGAGGAGCAGCCACCTGCCTTGGTTGACTCCTGTGTGAAATGGTAAGGTTGAGATTTGAGTTAGGTGGGCTGACTCTGAGGGCCTCATTCTGTATTTTTTTTTTAAATTGTGGTAAAACTGACATAACGTAAGATTTTCTATTTTAAATATCTTAAGTGTACAGTTCAGTGACATGAAGTGCATTCACATTGCTGTGCCCCTCCAGGTGCCGCTATCCATCTCCAGAACTTTTTCATCACCCCAAATTGAAACTCTGTATCCATTAAACACGCACTTCCCATTCCCCTCGCCCCTATTCCCTGGTAACGACCATTCTACTTTCTGTCTCTCTGAATTTATAAGGGACCTCTTATAAGTGGAATCATACAGTCTTCATCATTGTGTGCCTGGCTTATTTCACTTAGCATTACCTCCTCAAGGTTTATCCGTGTTATAACATATATCAGAATTTCTTTCCTTTTCAAGGCTGCATAATATTCCATTGTGTGTATAGACCACGTTTTGTTCATCCATGCATCGGTTGATGAACATATGGGCTGTTTCCACCTTTTGGCTATTGTGAATCATGCCGCTACAAACATTTCTGTACAAGTATCTGTTCGAATCCCTACATTCTCTTCTTTGGGGTGTTTAGCTAAAAGTAATTATTGGGTCAAGTGATAATTCCATGTTTAAGTTTTTGAGGAACCTCCACACTGGTTTCCTCAGCGGCTGCACCTTTTTACATTCCCAGCAGCAATGCACACGGCAGGTTGGATTCTTAACCACCATGCTCTCCTTCCTCTCTGAGTAGCCTGCATTTGTCCCGCTATGGAGAACAACGTGCTGTCCTATCTCTCAGTAGCCTGCAATTCGTCCTGCTCTTGTGGAGAGGCAAAGACTAAAAAACTATCCCTGCACCAAGGGGGCTCACGTCCTGGCAAGCGTAACACCTTGTCTTTATAATGCAGTACCTGGATTCAAGCCTCACGGGTATGGGAGGCAGGCCATTTAGCATTGTTATCCTTGTTTTACAGAGGAAGAAGGTGACACAGAGCAATAATTTGTAGTGCGCCTTAAGGTTACTGTTTCCATGGGACCATCTGGGACAGTGGAGGCCACCAGTGCACACCTTGTGGACCCCCTTCTGGAGACCATAAGTGATGCACCTACCTTAGCCCCAGCTACAGGGCTGAGCCAAGGCCACGCCTCCAGGGAAGCTCCCAGCCAATGAGTGTACGCGTAGGGGCTCTAAGGCGGGCCTGCCGATTCCTAGAGACCCGGGCCTCCCTGCATGGCTGACCTGGGTGTGAGAATGCCCCATCATCATTGTCCTTGTGTTAAGACTCTCCCCCCAAACCTTCTGTTCCCCTCTCCCCTTCACTCAAGGTCTGATAACTCTTCCAGCCTGGTCAGGCTTCCTCTTTATTTTCCTTCTCATTGGCACTTCCTCTAATAAAACCCCTGAATGTTTAATCCTGTCTTAGTCTGCTTCCTGGAGAATTCGGACTAATTCATTGAACTTATGGAGGTTCAATCACCTCCTTTTAAAGGGGAGGAAACTGAGAACCAAGGACAAAAAGAATGCCCAAGGTCAGGCCTGGTGCAGTGGCTCACACCTGTAATCCCAGAACTTAGGGAGGCCCAGGCGGGCGGATCACTAGGTCAGGAGTTTGAGACCAGCTTGGCCAATATGGTGAAACCCCGTTTCTACTAAAAATACAAAAATTAGCCAGGTGTAGTGGCGCGCATCTGTAATTCCAGCTACTCAGGAGGCTGAGGCGGGAGAATCGCTGGAACCCGGGAGGTGGAGGTTGCAGTGAGCCAAGATCATGCCACTGCACTCCAGCCTGGAGGACAGAGCAAGACTCCATCTCAAAAAAAAAAAAAAAAAAAAAAAAATTGCCCAAGGTCAGTGGAAAAAACAGTCATTGGAATTTCCTCTCCTGACTCTCAGATAAAGCCTGGTGTGGTACATTATCTGATACCAGGTTGGGGAGGAGTTTCGGGATTAGGGTATTCAGAGGGAAGACTAGCGAGCTGGTGGTGGGACAGTCTCGGGGAAATGCCTTCCAGACAGAGGGAAGGGTTAGTGCAGGGTCCCAGAGCAGGAGTGGGGCCTGCAGTGTTTGATGGAAGTAGAGTGGGTCTCCCGCAAGGTCAATGAGGGATAGGGGTGCCGGGAGTCAAGAGGTGATGTCAGTGGGGAGGACAGGGCTGCTGCCCTAGACCCAGGCAGGAGTTCAGATTTCATTCTAAATGGGATGGGACCCTATTTGAATGCTTTGAGTTGAAGGGTGCTGTGACTCGGCTTACATTTAGAAGTCACTCTGGCCATCATGGGGAGAATGCACAGAGAGAATGCTGCACCTGTGATGGGCCTGGTGCTCACGTCTAGATAAGGAAGCTGGGTCAGGTTCAAGAGGCTGCTGCAGGTGCCCAGGTGAGACAGAGAGCTTTGGCTTAGACCGTGGAGAGTGAGGCGCGATGGTCAAACTGCAGAGGGAATGCTAGGGGGATTACACTGTGCAGAACTGGATGATCAAGCCAATGATGGGGTGTGGTAGGGGGGAACAAAGAATTTGAGTGTCCCAGGTTTCTTGGCTGCTTGTGTACTCGCTTAGAAATAGTCATTGAGACTTTTCACTTCCTGAAACTCTGCAGGATATTGACATAGAAAGGGCTTCTCCAATCAAAACCTGCATGAGGCCAAGTGTGGTGGCTCATATCTGTAATCCCAGCGTGTTGGGAGGCCGAAGCAGGAGGATCACTTGAGCCCAGGAGTTCGAGACTAGCCTGGGTAATGTGGTGAGAACCTGTCTCTATGAAAAATACGTTAAAAATTAGCTGGGCATGGGGGCATCACTTGGAGTCTTAGCTACTCAGGAGGCTGAGATGGGAGGATCCCTTGAACCTAGGAGGTCGAGGTTGCAGTGAGCTATTGCATTCCAGCCTGGTGACAGACACTGTTTCACACACACACACACACACACACACACACACACACACACACACACACACACATTTTAAAAAGCTGTATAATTTCACATCAAAACAAAGGGTCGCAATTTACTAAAAAGTGCAAAGCAGAAGGTAGAAGTTCTAGTTAATAAGTTTTACCTAAATGTCCTGAAAACTAGTGATTTTTTTTTCAGAAAGCTATTTTTGTGTTTATAGTTTAAATACCTGGGTTTGAACTCAGGATGGGTCCCTTACTTGCTGTGTGACCTTGGCAAGTCACTGCAACTCTCTGAGCCACAGTTTCCTCTCTGTAATTGGAAGCAATAATGCCTTCTTCTTGGAGATGTTGTGAAGAGTAATTAAGATATGTGCTCCAGGACGGAACCTGTATCTAGGCAATTTTTAAAAACCGAATGCATTTTATACATACATTTCTAGGTTTATCATATTTGTATATTATTTACAATATATAAATGTATTTTTTCAAAAATATATAACCAGCACTGTGATTTCACTGATGTTATTACTTAATGTGAGGCTAAAGAAAAAAATACTGATATTTCAGGTGATACATGAATATTGTGAAAATGGAAAGGTAGATGCATCGCCAGCCAAGGTTTGGGAGCACCAAGATCACGGATGCAAATGCGTTCAGCAACTGTGGGTGCTCAGTGGGTGCTCCAGAAATGCTGGTTGAATGCGTGTCTTTGGAGAAAGCATCAGGAAGAGGGGCCCTGGCTGCTTTTCAGTGGACTTCTGCCGTATCTCTGCCCTCAGCTCCCTCCCCTCTTTTTCCCTTCCCTCCCCTCCCCTCTCTCCAGTCTTTACAAGTTTATCAAGACTACTCTGCCCCCATCAGGGCTCTGGGCAGGTCCCTGAAGAAGATTAAAGAAGATGAATATTTCATAGCCCTTGACTGACAACTCCTGAGGACCTGTTGTGGGTCTGGCGCCCACATCTAGTTAAGGAAGGGGGACAGGCAGAGGGGAGGGGGAGGAAAAGCCCATAGACTGAGCCATTGATCCGCTGGGTCCAATCTGCACTGATGAAACGCTCAGCTCCCAGCTCCCAAGCCAAAGGCAGCAAGTAATGGGTTTTAAGAGGCACAGGGCCAGTGGTAGCCCAGCCACCCAGCCCCCTTGGGGCCCACAGAGGCACCACCAGGCCCCCAAAGACCCATTTCTCTGTCTCCAGCTGTGGTCCCTCTGTCCTCATGGTGCCAGCCCTGTCCTTTTAACAAGCTGAACTCATTGTTTCCGACGCCTCCAACTCATTACCCCATTAAGGCCTGACGCCAGGCTCCATTCACCAGGGGACCCAGATGACAGGGTGGCAAGGCGCCTCTCCGTCTGGGGACTCTGAGGTGGTGGGCAAAGACCCCAGGTAGCCTCGGAGTAATCCCGTGGAGGCAACTGTGACAACGTGGAATTCTCCCTTCCATCTACTCCTTGGACACTGAGACTGGGGATAGAAGCAGTCCTGCTGACAAGGCTGAAATGTGGATTATTACTTTTCTTACCCCAGCTGTTCCTACATCCAAAGCTACTGACGCCACTTAACCCCACCTCTCAATGGAGGTGATGGATATTGAGGATGCCTTCTAGTATCTTGCTCTAGCAGGGAAAAAAGAACTTGTCTGGTGCTCCAGGGTTTTAAATGACTCAGTGCCAATAAAATGCAAGCAGGGGCATTGCACTTCGGGCTGTTAAGAGTGTGACCTGGTGCGTTAATTTCCTGTGGCTGCTGTTATTAATAACAATTTTCTACAAATTTAGTGGCTCAAAGCAACATGCAATGATTATCTTGCGGTTCTAGAGGACAGAAGTCTAAAATGGGTGTCACTGGGTTAAAACCAAGGTGTCAGCAGGGCCGCTTTCCTTCTGGAAGCTCTAGAGGAGAATCCATTCCTTGCCTTTTCCAGTTTCTAGAGGCAGCCTGCATGCCTCTGCTTGTGGCCCCGTCCTCCACCTTCAAGGCCAGCAGCGCAGCATCCTCACCTCTCTCTCTGGTTTTATGGTCACACCTCCTTCTCTGACTTTTTGATGGACCCTTGCAATTTCATGGGGATAATCCAGGGTAATTGCCCCATTTTAAGATCCTTGACTTAATCATATCTGCAAAATCTCTTTCGCCATATGACCTAGTGTATGCACATGTTGCCTGGATGAGGATGCAGACATTTTTGGAGGGCCATGATTTGGCCTATCGCTCATGGCCTTGAATAGACTTTCTCTGACTCTGTTACTTGCTAATAACTCTATGACCTTTAGTAAGAACTCCATCTCTCTGAGGTTCAGCCTCTGCAAACTGGGGGCTATAAGAGATGGCTTCTTGGGTCACTGGCAGATGAAATAATATAAATGAAAGATCTGGCATTTCTAGGTGACTTAATGTTCGATGAGTATTTGTTATTTGGTGGGCACTGGTAATCTAACCCGAACAAGGTAGCCATTCCCTGCCCTGGGATGGAGTTACAGACTTATGGTTTTAATCAGAGTGAGCTTTCTAATCTTTAAATTTTTACCACGCAAGCTTTTGTCCAAAAAGGTCAGTCGAGTTTATGGGCATTGCTCAGACTGAAGAGTGGATGGGGGACCTGTTGGCCTGGCACTGCCCCCATCCCCCAATTCCCTCACCAAACCCTTGGTGGTACCCATCGTGAAGCCATGGAACTAGTCGTTTCTGAGGCTCAGCTTTCTCATGTATAAAATAGGTATGATACGGCCTCCCTTGCAGGATTGCTGAGAGAGCCAGAAGTAAACCATGTAGAGTTCCTGACATTATGCATAGAGTAAGTGCATGATGTCTGGGACAAGGTGCTGTTGGTACCTTTACAAGGTCTCTTTCCCTTGATGCTGACCCTGACTCTGACTCTTGAGAGTTTTTCTCAAACCTGGAACCAGCAGATGGGTTGTGGAAGCTGTAGACTGAACCAAGAAAACTACACATTTGGGTCTTCCTTCTCAAACTCCATTGGGGTTTGTCTTAAAGTCCCTTAACATCTGACTTCTCCAGAAGCCACCCTGGCTTTGCATTGTGGTGCGGTGAATGCCAAACCTCCAAGTCCCTGAACCTGGAGCAAAGAAAAAGATGGATCTGGAGAGAAAAGTACTTGTCTTCCTTGAGGAGCAAGACTTGAGTTCCATAGTAAGAGGGTATAAGGTTTTCCTTCATTCAGTCCTGGAAGGACATGAACGAAAATGAACACGGTGGTCTTCCACCATTCCCACCACAGGGATGTCCTTGGGTTGCCACCACCTCTCAGTGTGGTTCAGGGGAGAAGGTCTTGGACTGGGAAGCTGGCTGCCTGCATGCAAACCTCTGCTCTGGGCTTCCTGGCTGTGTATCCTTGGGCAAGTAACATCCCCTCTCTGAGCCTGAGGTTTGTGGTTGCAACAGGTAGAAAGATCCCCTGGAATAAATAATGAATACAAGGGCTTAGCTCAGTATCTGACTTCCATCAATTATATTCAATAATTATAAGCAATTACTTATTATTAGCCATTAAGCAGAGAAAGCATGAAAAGTAAAAAATGACTTTAGGTAGCACCCAGTGCTAAAGAAATACAATGGTTTCTTTTCAGTGATGCATTGCACAGAGAGCAAACACAGCTTGAATCCTAACTTGCACATAGAAGACAGAACTCCCAACCTTTCCATCTTTGACTCTCCCAGAACCACCTGGATCCTCAGGTTAGAGACACTTAAGGAAGCCCAGAAGGGGAAAGCTGAGTCCAGCCCCAGCCCTGCTTTTCTTGCCAGGCCATCAGTCTTGGGCTTATCTGTGCTGTGGATGGGAGGCAGTGACAATTGGAGTGTACTTGTCCTCTGGCCCTAAGCTCTTGCCTATGTCCAGGTGACTCCTGACCTCTGTGGGTACTGCAGGGCATTAGAAGGAATGGAGAAAGAAAAGAAGAAAATATAGAATTGGAGCAGCCTGTAAGTTATTGGATAACATCACCTATTTAATGTCAATTAGTGTTTTTAACAACCAATTGCTGTGCCATTAACTTACAATAGCAACCTTGGGGGCATGCCAGCATGCTCCCGCAGACTAGCCTGGGCAGCCAGTTGGTGCTGGGTGTGCAAAGCAGACTCAGATTGCAGACTGATTGCAAGTTGGCATTGCTTGAGCAGGGTGCAGGTGGCCAGGGAGCAGGGAAGAGGGTGCCCGAGGAGCAAGGCATTTCACTAAGTGGATATTTATAGCAGGGCTCCTGGAATAAATGATCCAAGGAGAGGGCAGGAGGGGTGAGCTTGCTGGAGGTTGGCCAAGTCTTGGGTGCTGGATCCTGCCAAGCTGCAATCGCAGTGGCTCGCTTCGCTCCAGAAGCCTGGCTGCCCAGTGGTGGGGAAGATGGGGAATGCTTGTTAGGGTATCAGGTGGGGGCAGCTTCACTTCTCCACTCTTACACTCTTACATATGGACCTTGAATCAATTGTGAATTGTTCATTATCTGTGGCCTTTCATTTCCTTAATGTTAAAATGTCACGATGGTCCAATAGATAGTGAGCACCATGAACATCATTTGTGTGTCTTTTAAAATTTTTATTCTTTGTAGAGACAGGGTCTCACTATGTTACCCAGACAGGTCTTGAACTCTCAAGCTTAAGCAATCTTCCCACCTCAGCCTCCTGGAGCAGCTGAGACTACGGGTGCAAGCCACCATTTCCTGCTAGTTTTTCTATTTTTTGGTAGATATCAGGTCTCACTCTGTTGCCCAGGCTCATTTCAAACTCTTAGCCTCAAGCAATCCTCCTGCCTCAGCCTCCCAAAGTGCTGGGATTATAGGTTTCAGACACTGCACCTGGCCATTCACTGACTCTGGTGGCCACCCTCAAAGATGTCCCTCAATAATACCATCTTCTGGTATCCATGTCCTCATGAAGTCCCTTCCCACACAGAGTAGGGCTGATCTGGGTCACCAATAGGATATTGTGGAAATTATCTTGGTACCTGCTGATCCTGAGTCACAAAAGACACTGTGGCTTCAACCTGCCCTCCCTTGGGTCACATGCTACTATGGTTTGGATCTAGTTCATCCCCACCACATCTCATGTTGAAATTTGGTCCCCATTGTAGCGGTGTTGGAGGTGGGGCTTAGGGGGAGATATTTGGATCACGAGGAGGGATTCCTCGTGAATGGCTTGATACTGTTCTTGCAGTGGTGACTGAGTTTATGCTCTGGTGAGACTGGATTAGTTCTCTTGGGAATGGATTCATTTATAAGAGAGTGGGTATTTTTAAAGCCAGGATGCTCCTTGGGTTTGGGTTCTCTTTGCACGTTCCCACTTTCCCTTTGACCTTCTCTGCCATGTTTTGATGTAACATCAAAGCCCTCACCAGCAGCTGAGTGGATACTGCACCATGCTTCTTGTGCAGCCTTCAAAGCTGTGTGCCAAAAAATCATCTTTTGTTTATAAATTACCCAGCCTCGGTTATTCCTTTATAGCAACACAAAATGGACTAAGAGATTTTCTCTGAGGTAAGCCAGATGCCATATTTTGAGGACGCTCAAGCAACCCTAGTGAGAAGTCCACTTATGAGGAACTGAGGCCTCCCGCCATCAGCTAGCATCACCTTGTCCACCATGAGAGTGTCCCATGGTGGAAGCCAATCCCCCAGATCCAACCTTCAGAGGACCGCAACCCTGGCTGATATTTTGACTGCCACCTCCTGAAAGATCCTGAGCCAGAATTGCTCAGCTAAGCAACTCCTGAGTTCCTAGTCCACAGAGATAATGTGAGAAAATAAATGGCTATTATTTTAAGCCACTAAGTCTTGGGAATATCTGCTTTGCAACAATAGAGAACTAATTCACTAACCTGTTATCGGCTCCTAGCCCAATGTTTGGCATGGTGGACATCTAATAAATAGCTGTTTGTGCATGAGCACATAATATTATTCCATAAGGTTGCTTTGTAGGTTAAATGAGATAATCGATGGAGGCCCTCAGCATAGTGCCTGGTGCTGAGCAAGAGCTCAGTAAATAACCACCCCTGGCATCATTGTTATCTTCATCATTACCAGCATTAGTTGTCCATGTTGCCAGAGGCAGGCAGAGTCTCTGGTATTTGACTCTCAGAGTTTAAGCAGTGTCTGAAGAAGAAAGATAAAGAGAGAAGCAGGAAATGATCAGGGAGGGAAGATTGAGGGAAAAAGACAAAGACTGATAAAAAAGAGAAGAAAGTATAAGAGAAGTGCTTACAGATGGCCTGTGGAGTCAGGAAACCTGGATCCCTGCTCTCACTCTGCCCTAACCACTGCGAGTCATCAAGCAAGCCCTGTTGGCTCTCTGGACTCATTTCAAATGGAGTTAACATCCTTTGTCCATCCTCCTAGGGTAGTATAGTAGAAAAAATTAGAAGGGGTGGGTTCTGGTTCTCATTTTGCTATTACTTGGCTTTGGCAAGTTATATCATCTTCTGAACCTATTAAGCATATTGTGAAATAAAGGGTTTGGACTCAACAAGGAACCTTTCCAGCTCCAGAATCCAATAGCAGACTGATTTTTGCACATGGCATTTCTGAACATGAGGTGCTGAAGTGAAGATTTTGCTTGGAGAGGGAAAATAGAGTGGATATTGGCAGAAGGGGGATGCAACCCATAGTCTGAGTACCCCTCAGGGTCTGAAATCACTCCTAGTACTCTGAGCCCTTCATGTTGGAATCCAGACAGAGGGACATAATCTCTAGAAACATTTTGTTCATGTGGGTTGTATATGGCTAGATTCCATTTCAGTTCATTAGTTCCCATGCCATACTGGTTGTTAAAGATTTTGCTTATCACGCACTGCCCAGAAGAGAAAGTTTAGGAGACGTATTCTCTCCCCCCATCCACTTCTCTCTGGCTTCTCCATCCATTGCTAATGTAGACAACTCTACATATTTAGAATTTATTGGCTCAAGAAGGAGTTATGAAGTGCCTCCTCTGGGCAGGACCCTGGGCATTTAATGGCAACCAAGATAGACACAACCAGTGCCACTGTTGTGTTTGAGGTGCGTGTGTGTTCAATTTCTGATTCTTTTCCTTATCTTCCTTAGTTGGATATTTGTATATATTCTTTCCTTCCCTCTCTCTTTCTTCTCCTCTTCTTCCTTTATTTTTAGAAATCCCATCTCGTGAAATTGATAGCCAAAGGACGGATCTTCAAGGCAGCTTGTAGTTTTGCAGGGAGAGGTTTTCATCATCACGAGTACTGCAAATGGCAGTGTTATGGGAGTGACTGTCAGGCAATCTGGAAGTTGGGAGTCAGGGAGAATCTCCCCAGGAAGGAGGTGTTGCAGCAGAGACCTCCAAGGCCCTGGAATTTGGAGGATGGTCTCTGTGCCAAGGCAGCTTCACCATAGCGGTTAATAGTTCAGAAGAACAGAAAATCATGGCAGGGCTGCAAGCAGCTTGAATGAGGTGGCTGAGTCCAAGAAATTCAAGGTCACAGAGTAAGCTGATGGCTCAGAGTCTGGACTATTTCAGATGCAAAAAACAAAAGCCTCCTCAGGTTACCCTGGGCCCTAAAGGGGATTTATTGAACACACATATTCAGGAGTCCAGAGTGGGGCTTACCTCAGAAGCTGTAGGGACCCAAAGGGTGGCCCATGTTCTCCCTATCTCCTTATTCCTGGGTTTGGCTTTCTTCTGTGTTTTTCCTTTTCTCTCTACCAGAAGATGGGCCTTCTATCCATTTGTGGACCATTCAGCCAGGTGGAGAAGTGACTGGCTACAGGAATCCCAGGCTCCACATATTCCAGCCTACTTGGCCACACAGCATACAAAATCCTAGGGAAGGATTCTAATTGTCTGGCTTGAGTCATCCAATCAGAGGTCAGGGTGATGGTCCCATCAGAACCACTTGGAGTGAGTGAGCAGGAGTAGCCTCAAAGAAGGGGGGGGCACTTTTACCAGAATAACAGGGGAAGTGAGGCTGGAATGACAAAAACAACCGCTGTCTACTCTACAGAAACCACCAAGTTTAATACTCACTCTAGTTATAGTACTTGATCAATTAACATGATTACTTCTTTGACCCTCTCCTAAACATCAAAACTCCTAACAATTTGGTCAAGTTAGAATGCCATTGGCCGAGCGCCGTGGCTCACGTCTGTAATCCCAGAACTTTGGGAGGCCAAGGCTGGTGGATCACCTGAGGTCAGGAGTTCGAGACTAGCCAAGCCAATATTTGAAACCTTGTCTCTACTAAAAATACAAAAATTAGCCAGGTATGGTGGCACATGCCTATAGTCCTAGCTACTTGGGAGGCTGAGGAAGGAGAATCGCTTGAACCTGGGAGGCAGAGATTGCAGTGAGCTGAGACTGCACTACTGCACTCCAGCCTGGGTGACAGAACAAGACTCCATCTCAAAAACAAACAACAAAAAGACTGCCATTGTTGTGTTTGAGGTGTGTGTGTGTTCAATTTCTGATTCAGGCAGATGTTCTAAAGAGGAAACCTATTTCTAGCTATTCTTCTATTCTTTATCTTTTCTTTTTTTTCCTTCTCTTTTTTTTTTTTTTTTTTTTTTTTTTTTTTTGAGACAGAGTCTCATTCACTCTGTCATCCAGGCTGGAGTTCAGTGGTACGATCTCGGCTCACTGCAGCCTCTGGCTCCCAGGTTCAAATGATTCTCCTGCCTTAGCCTCCTGAGTAGCTGGGATTACAAGCGTGTGCCACCACACCTGGCTAATTTTTGTATTTTTAGTAGAGACAGGGTTTCTCCACGTAGCCCAGGTTGATCTTGAACTCCTGACCTCAGGTGATCCGCCTGCCTTGGCCTCCCAAAGTGTTGTATGTAATACACGCTTGTAGGCGTGAGCCATGGCGCCCAGCCAAGGAAAGCTATTTCTTAAGCTGGATAATGGGTTTATGGGTGCTTCTGAAACTGAAATTTGCATACCATTTATCTAGGGGTGTTATTAAAATGTAGATTCTGGTTCAGCGGGTCTCGGGTGGGGTCCTGAGATCCTACATTTCTGGCAAGCTCCCAGGTAACGCTGATATTACCTGTGCATGAACCACACTTAGCAAGGCTTTATATTAATCTAACTTTCAGACTAGGGAGGGAGAATAGGAAGAAAGATGGCTGTTTTAATAGAATCGAGTCAATATACAATCTCAGACTTGATGAAAAATTTAGAGATCATTTTTCTCTCCAGAAGCTCTTGCCCAGTTTTTGATGAGCGGGAGACACTTCCTCTGTGTCTGCATTGACTACACGGGGACCTCCGCACCTCCCATGGGCATCTAATTCTAATCGGGTGAATCTGGATGAATTTGAGAGTGGGGCAATAACGTGGCGATGAAAGGACACCACGAAAGAGTTAAACCTTCTAGGAAGCAGAGTCCAACAGGCCCAGCCAAATGCAGAAGGGGTTGACCTGGCTCCAAGGGTTAATACTATTTTGTTTTCCAGGACTATTTGTTATATCAGGTTAGTGCAGGCAGAAGGTCATGGGGGTCAGCGGCCCCCCTCGCCATCCCCCTCCTCTCTCCCCTTCCCCCTGTCTCCTCCATTTGCAGCCTCATTGCCTCCTTTAATCGGATGACCCCAGACACTGAGCTTTCCTTGGGATTTTCTTGCCAGCGCCTTCAGACTCGTTGCAGCCGTTGCAGCCGACGCCAGCCGTCTCTCTCGCCCCGGCCCTCAGAGGCAGGCGCGCAAGCTAAAAGGCACTTTGCGAGAGGGGGAACCGTCCATTGCAATTTGTGCTGCGGTTTCTCTGGACAAGAGAGGATCAAGAAAAGGGTCCTTTGTCTTCTTTCGCCTTTTCTTTTCTTCTTCATCTTCCCTTTATTTCTCTTTGTATAAAATTGGTTTCCTCTCTTGGGTCCTTTGTCTTCTTTCGCCTTTTCTTTTCTTCTTCATCTTCCCTTTACTTCTCTTTGTATAAAATTGGTTTCCTCTCTTTTCCTCCTTTTGGTCATGTTTCTTTTCCTTATCTTCCATATTTGGATATTTGTATATATTCTTTCCTTTCCTCTCTCTTCTCCTCTTCTTCCTTTATTTTTAGAAATTCCATCTCGTGAAATTGATAGCAAAAGGACGGATCTTCAAGGCAGCTTCGTCAAGTTTCATTCCCAACCTGAAGAGGGTTCAAATCCCTGACAAATTAGAATAGGACTCTAGCAGCAGCGTTCTTTAACCACACTGAGCCTCAATTTACTGATTACAAAATGAAGTTAAGAATCTCAACCTAATGGGCTGTCAAAGTTAGCCAGAAAGCATATATAAAGCACAGAGTCTGGTATACATGGGTGCCCAATAAATGTTAGTCTTTTCATACCCTTAAGCCTTTTCCTTTTCCTCTCTGCTGTTCCTTTTTTTCCTTTAGCTATGTTGCTTTTAATAACTTTCTTTTACATTTCTGGAAAATTATCTACAGGTGGAGAATCTCTATGCAGAAAGTATGATGGTGGTGTAACAGGGACCTGGGTTTGCCACTTAATCGCTGCACAGCCTTGGGCAAGTTGATTGAAATTCTCTAAACCCCAATCTCCTCTTCTGCAAAATGGAATAGGATTTCTTTCCCTCTGGTGCAGTGGTAAGGATTAGATGACATCATGATCCTGGAAAAGGTGCTTCCCAGCACCTGGGAAGGACTGCTGATCATGTTGTCTTAGGTCACTGAGCACTAAAGGTGGCACCTATCACTGAGCCCCGTGGCCACTACTTAGTCTCTCTCCTGTCACTCACTCCCTCTCAGTCAGACTTTTATTTCTACTGTAACAGAGTGCACTATCAGTGCTCGCGTGGACAGGTTAAACTGTTAGTACTCATCCCTCTGCTGAGCCATTTGTTCATCCATCTATACACCCATCCATCTATGCATTGCCCACCCATCCATCATCTATCTGTCCATTTATCCATTGTCCATCCATCTATTCTTCATCCATACATCCATTCGTACATCCATCTACCCATACAATCATCCATTTACTTACTCAATCACCCACCTGTCCATCCATTTGCCCATCATCACAGTCACCCACCCACTTATACCTCTATCTCAGTTTTGCACTTATTCATTCATTACTCCACCTGGCTACCACCCATCCTATCCCATCCCAGCCCATCCATGTTTGTCATCCCATTCATCCATCCATTCATCCCATACTTCCCCATTGTATTCAAGCTCACATTTATCTACCCATTCCATCTATTCATCCATCCATCCATCCACCCATCCATCCACCCATCCATCCACCACCTTCCCGTCTATCCATCCATCCACCCACCTACCCACCCACCTATCCATTCATTCACACTTCCATTTACTCATCAATTTGTCACTTATTTACCTATGCATCCATTCATTTATTCAGACTGGTTGCATAATAAATAAGATTGGCCTAAATTATACCTTATCATAAAATTCTACTAGAAATTTCTAGAAACAGAAGAAAGAAACAACAATAACCACAACAGCAACATGATTTTGGAGCCATAGGGCCTTCTATTCAGTCTCCTCATGGAGCAGGTGGGGAGGAGGAAAGGGGCTTTGCTCTTGAGCACAGGACACATGCAGTTGGGTAGCTTAATGGTTTTTAAACTGGGTCACAAGAATCCAAGGCTTCTGTGATTGTGTTAAAGGGGTTATTGACAGAAGGGCTGCTACTTCAAATAGAATGGCTCTCCACCCTGTCTTACTTTTATATGGTCTCTGTTTAAGATTTAATTTGAAAAAAAAAGTTACTTAGCTGTTATGGAAAATTTTTAAAGCACAAATATAGTCACACATTTTAGATACTAAAGAAAAGTTCAGAAAAATCTGTCTTTTACCTTGCCAACCATAGAATAAAGAGGTAATCTCTCACTCATGTAGTTTTTTTTTTTTTTTTTTTTTTTTTTGGAGTGCTTACCATAAGCCAGGTAGTGGGCTAACAATTAAATGGACCATCTCATTTAATCCAATAATGACTCAGTGGGGTTGGTATCATTATCTCCATTTTTCAGATGAGGAAACTGAGGCTGACAGACATCAAAGTACTTGCCCAAAGTCACACAGCAATTAGAACAGTGGAGTTAGGATTTGAACCTAGGAATTTTCTCCAAAATGCAGCCTGCCTGCAGTGGGAGGCTAATTACCCTCTAAGTTGTGGCCAAAGGGGCAATGGAGAAGAAATAGCAATAGGGCTTGTGTTCTTATGTCTTTCTTGGTTAGTTCTTCATTTCCTCTTTCAGCTTTTACAATGAACACCAGAGGGGATGATGAGACTCAAATACCCAACAAACTAACATTATAGATTCTTGGATTTAGAAAGGACTGAGGTTAGTGATTTTTAAACTGGGGTCACCAGAGACCAAATCTGTTCCCCAAGTTTCTTCAGAGGTTTCTACTGGACATGATCAGAAGTCACTGTGTCATGATGGATGTTAAACAGACCTGGCTTCATGTCTAGGGCTGGCCAGTTACTAATTCCGTGACCTTGTAGAAGCGACTTTCTTTCTTGAAGACTCAGCTTCCTCACTGGTAAAAGGCAGACAGAAATAATACTTATGTTATAGGGTTACTCTGAGAGTTAAATGAGAAAATGCGTCTTGAATGTTACATAGAGTTCCTGGCATATAGTGACTGCTCAGAATTTTAGCTATCGTCTTCACCATTGTCGTCATAATTATCATCATTTGTGGCTCCATGTGAGTAAGAACCTGCGTGACCTAATAGCACTAAAGCTAAAGAAATGGTCTGAAAACCAGTGACCTAAGACAACATGATCAGCAGTCCTTCCCAGATAATAATTATTTTTCCAGGATTTGTTTATAGGTCTTAAAGTGACTTTCAGGCCGGGTGCGGTGGCTCACACCTGTAACTCCAGCACTTTGGGAGGCCGAGGTGGGCAGATCACCTGAGGTCAGGAATTTGAGACCAACCTGCCCAGTATGGCGAAACCCCGTCTCTACTAAAAATACAAAAAATTAGCCGGGTGTGGTGGTGGGCGCCTGTAATCCCAGCTACTCGGAGACAGAGGGAGGAGAATCACTTGAACCCGTGAAGCGGAGGCTGCAGTGAGCCGAGATTTCGCCACTGCACTCCAGCCTGGGCAACAAGAGAGAAACTCCATCTCAAAAAAAACAAAACAAAAAACCCTCTGGTGTTAACCAATATCATTGCTATAGACTTAGAAAATTTCAAAGCTAATGGCTGGAACTGGGTTGGAGTCTTGTTGCCTTTTCTTGTTGGGAATGATCTGGGATTAAAAAAAATTTTTGAGTTTTCATTATTTCCCTAATTAAGAAGAGTGTGTGTATGAAAGAGAAGGGGATGAGGGAAGGAGGGAGGGAGGAAGAGGGGGACAAAGAGGGAGAGAAACTTGGAAAAGCCTTCAAACCTCTCTGAATATCATTCCCTTGTCTATAAAATGAGGCAAATACTTCCAAGTATGGTTCCACCACAGGCGCTGGAGAGAGAATAAAATTAGAAAAGACAATATTTGCTGAAGGAGTTCTATATACCAAACCACTGCTTTCAAACACATTGTCTCTGTCTATCTTCACTACAACCACAACTCCATGGAATAGCTATTATTACCCCAAATGACATGATGAGGAAGCTGAGGCTTGCACAGGCACAGTAGCCTGCCCAAGGACAGGTAGTTGGAAAGTACAATTCATTTGTTAATTCACCAACTATTTATTTGGTACTGCGGAATTCACGTCTCTGTGTATTTTAACTTCTGTCCCCAAGCAAACATATGCAGACACCAAAATACCAGTTTGAGATAAGAGTGGGCTTGGCTTTCGCACGTGTGACTGTCTTGTTAGATTATTATTATTGGTTGTGGTAGTAGAAATAGTAATAGTATTTATGTCAAAGATAGAGGTAAGCAAATATCTCTTTGAGCTTGTTTTCAGTATTAAATTATACCACTATTACGCTATAAATAACCACTTCTATATATTGAGCACTGGCCTGGTATATGTTCTTGATCTATGAGCTTTACGTGGTCACCTCACTTCCATTCTAAGCAAATAAGTCACTCTTTTATCTCCATTTTACAGATGAGAAACTTGAAGGAGTCAGTCCACAATAATTTCTGGAGCATCTACTTTGTACTACCTGCTGTTCTAGGCACTGTGGTTTCACTGGTAACAAGGACAGAACTACTGTCCCCAAGGAGTTATGTTCTAATTGGTGGATGGGAGGACACAGATTAGGAACACAGAAACAAATGAGGTAACTTCTGTCACTGGTAAGTGCTTTAGAAGAAGAAATAGGGTCATTACATAGAGGATGATTGCTTTAGGAGGTCAGAAAGGGAGGTGTCTCTGTGGAGGTAACATTTAGTTCAAATTTGAATAACGAGAAAGAGGCAGAGACCAGCAAAGGCTGCACATGCAGAGGTCCCAGGGCGGGCACAGAATGGATAGAGGTGGATTAATGGGTTTATGTCCCACAAGCTGTTCTCTGCACTTGAACTCAGGGCTGTTCCCATAACCAATATTCTGAACCATCCTATTCTACTGCCTGCCTGGATACTCCATCAACTGGGGAAGGCTGCAGGTAAACTATGACTCTGCTGCGTATTTTCAGGGAAGAATTGTCCAGAGCTGTCATTTCCCAGGAAGCCAGCCAATCTCTTAGGAAAATGCCAAGGATGCTTGTCCCAAGAGAAAGTTGCAAAACCAAGCCTTAGATACCTGTAGCTCTTGGTTGGCCAAAGGGTAAAACTCCAATGAGAGCTCATGTTCGTGTCCACTGTAAAGCAAGTGAAGTTGTCTCATCCTGGGGTAGCTGTTAAATGTCATGCTTGCCCTCCCCAAGAAGTCCAAATATAAGCTGTGCATTTACTATGCTCTGGATTGGGGAAGAAGGGGTTCTAGTATGTATAAGTTGGTACTTCCCAAACTTCAGTGTGCTCCCAAATCTCCTGGGGAATCTTGTGAAAATGCAGATTCCCATTCAGTAGGTCTGGGGCAGTATCTGAGATTCTGCACTTCTAAAAAGTTTCCAGATGAGCTGAAGTCACTGCTCACGGAGCATACTTTGAGCAGCAAGACTATACAATGCTGAGTATTTCAGAACGAAGAAGAAAGATTACAAAGCAGTGATTGTACCAGCCACTGCTGATGGAATATTTATTAATCACCAGATGGCTTTTCATTTTGCCCTCCTGATATGGGTTGGGCATTGCCATTATCCCTGTTTTACAAGTGAGCCAACTGAGGCACTAAGAAGTTAAGTGCCTTGTCCAGTGTCACCAGATGGATGAGAGGTGGAGCTCAGGCTGTCTGCCTTCCAAGTGCACCTCACCGCCTATGTCTCTTAGGCCCCCCACTTTCCACCTGGAGGATAGAGTTTCCAAGTGGGTCAGAAGCTGCTCTCCAAAGCTGGTTGGATTTCACAACTGGATTAATAGACTCCATGCTGTCTCATTTGAACTAGGCACACACCCAAAGATTTTAGGTTCACCTGTCAGGTGCAAGTGTTTCAGCGTATTCATTGCCAAGACAGAGTTTCTATGCCTTATAAGGAAGCATCCAGCATTGCCTTTGGAAGGATTTTAGGTGTCAAAGGAATCCCACCTGCGGGAATCTTGACAGGCTCAGCTAACCCCATTTTCCAAAGACCTCAAAACCCAGTGGTCTGGATGAATGAGAATAAATGTTTTGGGGGCAACATGAACCTGACACGCTCCGCGTTAGGTTCCCACCATTGTGGAAAACAGGTCAGTGGAAAGCACCAGATAATAAGTAACTCCAAAAAGGGATGATGGGCTAAGTACAGACTTCTATTTCTCAGGGCATTTGGCAGGGACCCTAACCTAGACCTGGACTGGGGGTTGTTGAGGGGGTGTCATGGATAAAACAACGTGCTCCCTGCCCGGGACAGCAAGGACGTTTGACCCCACTACTTATCCTCCCTGCTTGATTCCATCAGCTGCAGCCTGTTCCAGGGTTTATTCAGCACTGGCAAAGAAAGCAATGCCATTTTCTCAAATAACAAAGTATCAGTAGAGGTTGCCCCCTCACTGAATCTCCCCGACGGCAGGCACGAGTTTCCAACCCAGAAAGACATAGATTCAGAGGCAACTCAGAAGTATCAAGGATTCCCCTCTCCTCCTCCCTCCGACAACCGCTGCCACCCCCACCCTAAGCCCTCCCCACCCTTCCTCCCTCCGCCCCGCCCTCCTCCCCCCGGGAGACTGGAGGAACTTGGCAAGCCATCTCGTCGCCAATCAATCTGTGGTGTAACAATTAGCACTTAGGCACCACTCATGCTAAACACACGCTTAGAAAACACTTATAAAAAAAAAAAAGGAAGAAGAGTCATCAGAGGTAGAAGCCAGGGCAGCACCGGTGGGGGGACGCCAGGGAGCGGAGCCAGGAGGAGGCCTGGGGAGGAAACAGATCAATGCGCTGTGGAATGGAAAGCATCTGATACCCTATTATTGACGAGGCCAAAGCACTTTGAGGCGTGTTTCCACCGTGAGCAATTAGTCTGCGAGACCGCAGGAGTTAAGCTAACACTGGTAGCCCCCCCATCTTCCAGTTGGATGACACTTTCATTGGGTAGCGAGCCCCCGCAGCAGTGGCGCCAGCCTGCAGCCGTAATGGGGCCCATCCGCGGAAGGCCGAATGCTCCAGTCTCCCAGAAGGCCCCCCTCGCGCCCCCCACCCCGCCCCAGCTCCCCCCACCCCACTCCCGGTAACAGAATCCAGTCGACACAGAGTGTCTGCGCGCCTGTGAGCTGCCTAAATTGATTGTAATGGTTTTATCACGCGCAGAAAGAGCTGGCTGTTTTCTCGCCTCTGCTGTCGGCTTTCATAAACGCCCAGGCAGGAGGAAGTGATTCCTCTTCGGGAGCACTGGATCAGATGAAAGGCAACTTTTGTTTGTTGGCGAGCAACTCGCAGCCTCCGCCACTGCCTGTCTCCAACCCTGCTCTAGGCATCTTCGCTGGCTGTGCACACAACAGAGACTCAGACAGCGTCCCCCGACTCACCCCACCCAACAAACAGCAGGGGGTGGGGGACTTGTTTCTGGAGCCAGTTCTGGGTTCATCTCTGGAGGCTTCAGTGTCTGGGGTAGGGAGTTTCAAGGACGGATTGGGTAGAGAGAAGAGTAAATGAAGATGGCAATGATGATCAACAATGATAACAATGAAGATGAGGATAGCTAGCTAGCATTTCTGAGTGTTTATCCCCAACCAGGCAGTGTGTTTAAGCACATCGTAGATATTTCTTGGAATTCTTACAGCGATCTTATGAGACATTATTTCCCCCGTTTTGTAGTTAGGGGAATTGAGGCATAAAGAGGCATGTGAAATGGTCATGGTTATCCAGGGAGCAATGAGAGGAGTGAGGGAAATTAGAGCCCAGTTCTGATTCCTAATCTGGTTCATTCTCTATGCGCCATATCGCTTCTTTAAATTTGGTAGGGCGAAAAGACATGCTGTCATAATACCTCAGGTACTGGGTATTCCCCAAGGATTGCGGAAATTTGAACCTTCGAATAATTTAGGCTTAAAAGAATCTAGACCCAGCCAAAAAAATTGAAAGCTAAATGAAACACCCTTTGGTCCAGCCCCGCTTAAATATTCGCCAAGTTCTTTTTCATCACCTGGTCTCTAATCTCTCTGTTCCCTCAGCCTGGAATTCCAAACTCTACCCTAGATATGCTTGTGAGAACGCCTACACAGTCTTCAAACGTAACCTCTTCCTGGAAGCCTCTTTCTTCCTATCCCTTGCACCCTGTCTAGACTTCTATGGCCCCAGCAACATTCCTTTCCATTGTGTTTCTTTATTACCTATCTTCCCATTAATGTTAACTCACTGCGTATTTGTTGAGCTCTTACAGTATGCCAGTCTCCATATTAGGCTGAAAGCTCATTGGGACATGTTTTATTCATCTTCACATCCACAGTGCCTGGCCCATAGTCTGACCCCAGCAAATGTCAGTTTCATGAATGATGACCAAGATCATGGGCTAGCCCCCTGTTTTTGCAAATAAAGTTTTATTGGAACACAGCCACACTCATTCATTTATGTATTCCATAGCTGCTTTCATGCTACAGTGGCACACTTGAGTAGCTGTGACAGAGACTGCACGTTCTGCAAGCCTGCAATTTTACTACCTAGCTCTTTACTAAAATGTTTTCTGATGACTGATCAAGGGGATGATCAGATAATTTTCCAAACTTTTCATTTTGTTTTCTGTATGTAGCTAGCATACTATTGTTGAATAGCTACCTGTGCAGTTTCTACCCTCTAGTAAATTGATTGGAGACATGCATCTCATTTTGATGTCTCCCTGTGCCTATAACCTTTGGTAGTGCCCTACACAGTTTGTGGCTTGAGCATGTGACCTGTTTTGGACAATGGGGTGGTAACAAACTCACTTCAGACACTGGAAACTGTGTTTTGTTTTGTCGTTTTTTTTTTTTTTTTCTGCTAGTCACCACCATGACAACACCCTCTACTGGAAAGGTATGAGTCATCCCAGCTGAGGACATCCTAAACCAGCCAGCCCCCAGCCAACCTATCCGCTGACCACAGATGCATGAGTAAGACAGCTGTACCTAGCCCACATCAGTAGAACTAGACAACTTGTCTCTAGACAACTAGACAACTAGACTCAAGTAAGATGGTTGTTGCTTTGAGCCACCAAGTTCTGGGTTAGTTTGTTACACAGCAGTAACTAACATATGTATACTTAACGGGTGTACAATTTATGACTCCAAACCAGGTGTTTTAATGAATCACCTGCAGAAATGACCCAGGCATGCACCATGAAAACAAGAATTCCTTTGTGTGTTTTGGAGGTGGGTGAAGATGGAGTGTAGTCTATTGTTTTATAATTTTTTATAACTTTTTTTTGAGATGCGGTCTTGCTACGTTGCTCAGGCTAGTCTCAAACTCCTGATCTCAAGCAATCCTCCTGCCTCAGCCTCTTGAGTAGCTGGGACTACAGGCATGCTGTGCCTGGCACATTTATCTGTTCTTCCTACTTTGGAAACACCTCTGTATTTGGGGAAAGTGGTCAGAATCATTTAAAGAAGGTGAAATGCCAGTCTGCAGTAACAGTTTTCTGGCAATGTCAGGGAGTGATCCTGTGTTTTGCAGGAAGGACTAAGCCAAAGGATTTGATGCAACAGCTTTGGAAATTATCTGGATTTTACTGATCAGGGTATCCCTTAGCTGCACTGGCAAAAATAACCAAATCGGGATGTAACCATGAAATTATGTGTCCGCTGTGCTTGTTTCTAATGTTGTAGAGCATAGGTCTATAAAAAGCTACTGGAACATGCCATTCTTTGCATTTCAAAGCCTGGAATTTAACCAGCAGATAGTTTTCTATGTGTTCCTGAAGATTTCTTTTCTCTTCTTCTTCCCTCTGCTCCCCCGTTCTCTCTGTTCTTATCTTCTATTTCATGTTCTCAAGCTTCTCTGCATTTCTACACTGACTTTGGGGTAGGGTGTCATCTGTCTTTAGTACACCCAGCACAGTAGGAGAAACTGTGAGAAACACACTGAAGACAAATTCGTAATTTATTCCCCAACTAAAGGTGCTGACCCCTGCTTTTCATAAGGAAACACAATGGCTGTCATTAGCCCCTTGGTATTGGTGGGAATTTCCTGCCTACATTACATTCTGGATAAAATCTTTAAGGCTACAATCCAGGCACAAGCAGAAGAGATGGCATGAAGACGCTATGCTCCCAGCACCACTCCCCTGCAAAAAAGGGAATGTGACCAAGGTCAGAATGAACAGATGGTTTGGGAGGAGAAAGCCAGAACTCCTATTCCACCCTGGAGCAGGACTCAGGCCTAGGGTGATAGGTGGTAAAGTTATAATATTTCTCCAAGAGTAAAGTGGGAAGGATGAGCGTTGATAATCCCAAGGGCCCATGCACTCTACAATTCTAGCCTGGGAGGATTCAAAGTGGAGTCCACTGTGATGATGGAAGGGAAGCTGAATAGCATGCAGTTTAAAGAAGTGCAAATGGATGCGATTGTACCTGGCAAGTGAAGTCTTGAGTCTTTTATAAGGTGGTCCCTGAGTTGGTCAAGATATTACTCTCAGGGATGTTGGGAGCAGAGCTATCTCGGGAACAGGTCTGCAGTAGGGGAGGGGGTGAAGAATGCTGGCAGATGGTGTGGGTGAGCTGCATAGCAATTTGGAAGAGGACACATGTTTCCAACCCAGATCCCCCCTGAACCCTCCCATGGTCAGTGGGGTTCTATTTGAGCCAAAATGAGGCTCAAAGATTGGTTTAAGTAATGAACTTGCGAGCCCTTTCTATCCCATAAAACACATCCAGGCATTGCTAGAATGAATTAATGAGCATGTTTATTCATTTCCTAGGACTACCATAGCCAAGCACCACAGACTGGGTGACTTAAAACAAGAGAAATGGATACTCTTGCAGTTCTGAAGGCTAGAAGTTACAAATCAAGGTGTTAGCGGGGCCGTGTTCTCTCTGAAGGCTCTAGGAGAGAATGTGCTCCATGTCTTTCTCTTAGCATCTCCTGGTTGCTGGCAATCTTTGGCATTCCTTAGCTTGTAGATGCATCAGTCCAATCTCTGCCTCCATCATCATGTGGACCCTGTCCTGTGTGTCTTCACATTTTTCCCCTGTGCATGGCAGCCTCTGCCATTTCTCTTCCTCTTATTAAGGCACCCCCATCATATTGGAGCAGGGGCCACCCTGAGGACCTCATCTTAACTTGACTCCATCTGCAAAGACCCTATTTCCAAATACAATCACATGCACTGGTATGGGAGTTAAGACTTCAATGTATCTTTTTAGGGGACACAATTCAACCTGTGACAACATGAAAAAAATAAGCCTATCATGGAAGATATCTATGCATTGGCTTCTAGTGAGGAGTTAAGGAGATTTAAGGTGTTCCTTATCATACCCCCTTAAGCTGATTTAAGGTGTTCCTTATCATACCTGCTCACCTCTGAATGCAGCTGCAGCTGCCGGGCAGAGGTTCCTGCAAGCTCAGACTCAAATTGACAGTATGCTATCCAAGTGCGCACCATGGCCTCTGTGAAGCTGTAGGAAGCTGCCGAGGCCATGAGCAGGAGTCACTGGGGGTGACCCTCAACCAGTAGCAGGTGGAGTTAGGGTCTAAATGCCTCACCTTGATCCATCAACGGGACATTTCTGGGATGTATTCCGTACACTTCTCACAGCTTCCGACGGTATTTATATCCCATTGTCTACACAGCTGCTTCATATACGAAGTAGCCTCAGCCGGGTGTGGTGGCTCACACCTGTAATCCCAGCACTTTGGGAGGCTGCGGCAGGTGGATCAAGAGGTCAAGAGATCGAGACCATCCTGGCCAACATGGTGAAACCCCATCTCTACTAAAAATACAAAAATTAGCTAGGTGTGGTGGAGCATGCCTGTAGTCCCAGCTACTTGGGAGGCTGAGACAGGAGAATCGCTTGAACCGGGGAGGCAGAGGTGGCAGCGAGCTGAGATTGTGCCACTGCACTCCAGCTTGGTGACGGGGTGAGACTCTGTCAAAAAACAAAAAACAAACAAAAAAAAATAGCCTCATATTGGCTTTTCCTTCTTCCTTGGCTCACTCTGTCCATTCCCTTGCACCTGAGTCCCGAGGTCACCTTGACCTCCCCACTCCGACCCTCCCCCGCCATGTTACCCCCACCACCAATAAAACTACTTGTATCCAAGTCCTTGTTTCATGCTCAACTTCTGGCAGATTTCAAACTAAGCAGACAGAGGGGGGGAGAGAGAGAGAGAGAGAGAGAGAGAGAGAGAGAGAGAGATGGGAAATGGAGAAGATCAGAGATACTTGTTTTTAAATCTAGAGCCTAGCTCTGGCCCTTTAAAGAATGATAAGAACAAAACTATTTGCTATGTGCCAGCCATGGTGCTAAGCATAGTGTATGCACCATCTCTTATAATCCTACTGTCGTGGGTTGAACTGTGCTCCCCAAAATGATATGTCTACATCGTAACATCTACAATCTGTGAATGTGACATTATTTGTAAGAAGGGTCTTGCAGATACACAAAAAATCAAAATTAATAGATTTTGCTGTGGATGCAGTGGAAAGGGAATACTTCTACACTGCTGGCGGGAATGTAAACTAATACAAGAGCTATGGAAAACAGTATGGCAATTCCTTAAAGAACTAAAAATAGAACTACCCTTTGATCCAGCAATCCCACTACTGGGTATCTACTCAGAGGAAAAGAAGTCATTATATGAAAAAGATACTTGCACACACATGTTTATAGCAGCACAATTCACAATTGTAAAAATGTGGAACCAGCTCTAATGCTCATCAGTCAATGAGTGGGTAAAGAAACTGTTACATATATATGATAGAATACCACCATAGAAAGGAATGACTTAATGGCATTCTTAGTAACCTGGAGTAACCTAATCATATTCTCACTGATAAGTGGGAGCTAAGCTACAAGGATGCAAAGGCATAAGAATGACACAATGGACTGTGGGGATTCAGGGGAAAGGGTGGGAAGGTGGTGAGGGATAAAAGGCTACAAATTGGGTTTAGTTTTTCTGCTCGGGTGATGCGTGCACCAAAATCTCACAAATCACCACTAAAGAACCTACTCATGTAACCAAACACCACCTGTTCCCAATGGACTGGAAATAAAAAATATGGAAATTTTTTTTATGGAAAATAAAATATGGAAATAAAAAATAAATTAAAAATAAAATTTTTTAAGAAAGAAAGGTCTTGTAGATATAATTAAGAATCTCAAAGATGAGAACACACTAGATTATCAGGGTAGGCCCTAAGGGACAAGAGTCCTTGTAAGAGGCACGCAGAGGAGAGATACACGTGGAGGAAGGTGATGTGAAAATGGAGGCGCTCTTTCTCTTCAGTGAGGCGGCTGAGCTGCAGACTCAGAGATGCAGATCTTTATGAACACCCTCACGGGCAAGACCATCACTCTTGAGGTGGAGCCCAGTGACACCATTGAGAATGTCAAAGCTAAAATCCAAGACAAGGAGGGCATCCTGCCTGACCAGCAGTGTCTGATATTTGTGGGCAAACAGCTGGAGGATGGCCACAGTCTCTCAGACTAGAACATCCAGAAAGAGTCCACCCTTCACCTGGTGCTGCGCCTGTGAGGTGGCATTATTAAGCCTTCCCTCCATTGGCTTGCCCAGAAATACAACTGTGACAAGATGATCTGTGCCAGTGCTGTGCTCACCCCCGTGCTGTCAACTGCTGCAAGAAGAAATGCGGCCACGCCAACAACCTGTGCCCCAAGAAGAAGGTCAAATAAGGCTCTTCCTTCCCCACAGGGCCTCATGGCCCTGGGGATCAATAAAGTGTCCCTTTCATTGACTGGAGCAGAAAAAAAAAAAGAAAATGGAGGCAAAGTTTGGGGTAATGTGTCTATAAACCGAGGAGTTCCAAGGACTACTGTCACCACTGTCAGCCACCAGAAGGTAAGATGGGAGCAGGGAACAGATCCTCCCTGCCAGCCTTCAGAAGAAATGAGCACTGTGGACACTTCAGTTTCCCACTTCTGGCCTCCAGAACAATGAGAGAATGGATTTCGATTATTTTAAGCTATCCAGTGTGTGGTCATTTCTTGCAATAACCCTAGAGAATGAATACACCTACACAATTCTATAAGTTAATGATTACCGTATCAATATTCCACTTTACACATGTGGAAACTGAGGCATAGGGAGTTTAGTTAACATCTGAGTGGCCAGGAAAGAGTGGAAATCTGAATTTAAATCCACCTGTCTAGTGCAACGTCGTCCTCTTAATCATGCTCTAGACTGCCTTCCTGAGAGCCGACTGCATTTCTTCTGTGTAGAAGGAGAGTTAAGGGGAAATGAGAAGCAGTTTTTGTCATGGAGATTTGTATAAGACTAGGGTCCAGGCAGTTCTGTTTTAGGGCCCTGGGTGACAAAAGGCATGCACCATGGCTGGGTGCAGTGGCTCACACCTGTAATCCTAGCACTTTGGGAGGCTGAGGTGGGCAAATCACTTGAGGTCAGGAGTTTGAGACCAGCATGGCCAACATGGTGAAACCCCATCTCTACAAAAAATACGAAAATTAGCCAGGTGTGATGGCAGGTGCCTGTAGTGTCAGCTACTTGCAGGGCTGAGGTACAAGAATCGCTTGAACCCGGGAGGCGGACGTTGCAGTGAGCTGAGATCATGGCCCTGCACTCCAGCCTGGGTGACAGAGCAAGACTCTGACTCAAAACAAAACAAAACAAAACAACAATAACAACAACAAAAAAAAACAAAGCATGCACCAAGAAGATCATGAATAAACTTACTAAATGAGGGCTACCCCTGGCCAATCTAAGCAGTAACTAGGGAAGGTAAGGGCAGGTGAGTAGGAAATGATTCTGCAATTCCACAGGTAAGGGACATGAGTTAGAGACCTGTGGGTGTTTAAGTTAACATAACCTTCTTCGGATCTGGAGGCTGGAAAGTCCTGGGAAGGCTTGGAATGATTGTCACCAGCCAAATGAGTCTTTGTTATATAGAGACTCTGTAGGCCATATTTTAGAGAGAAAGGTCACAGAGTGGGTGGGAGGAGGCCTTGGAGAGTGAGGTAAGCTTAGAGGTGGAGAGAAGCCAAGAAGGAAGCAGGCAGGGGTCAGGATTAGAACTTGGAAACAAAGGGCAAGTCCAACTTCTCGTGGATAGTCACTGCACCCGGACACACAGTGACTCTGCAGCCAGGTGGATCCCAGCCAAGCCAGCTGGACTTGTGGGGCATAGGATATCCATGGCACTGCACAAGAATAAAGGGGATTGAGTTGTTAAGGGAAACTTTTAGATGAACTAGACGGTATGTCTTCCTCAAAGTTGATGTGAATAAATGGAGAATCAGAGCTCAAAGAGGAAAGCTGGCACCTTCAATCCCCAAATTAGAAGCGTCATGGATTCATTAAATGAGTATTATGTGCTGAGCTTGGCACCTGCTGCTGGAGTCTTTTTTTTTTTTTTTTCAGATGGAATCTTGCTCAGTTGCCGAGGCTGGAGTGCAGTGGCGCAATCTCGGCTCACTGCAACTTCTGCCTCCAGGGCTCAAGTGTTTCTCCTCCCTCAGCCTCCCAGGTAGCTGGGACTACAGGCATGTGCCACCAGGCCCAACTAATTTTTTGTATTATTCGTAGTGACGGGTCTTTGCCATGTTGGCCAGGCTGGCCTCAAACTCCTTATCGCAGGTGATCTGCCCACTTTGGCCTCCCAAAGTGCTGGGATTACAGGTGTGTGCCACCATGCCTGGCCAGGAGTCTTTTAAAATAAGAGAAATTAAGCATGTTTGAGGAGATGTTTGTTGTTTGACTGAGGAAATAAAGATTACATATGAAACTCTCTGGAGAAAATGGCACAAGGGTGCATATTCACAAACAGAATGATACATTTTAAATCTAACTTCCAAGGAAGATGAGAGAAGGTGGTAATAAGGTGGATATAGAAGATAGACTCTTACGTTGCAAAGAGAAGGCACCAAAGATTAACTTAAGTCCTAGCTGTTAAATACACATCACACATTACTATCTCTCCTCTCCTTCCATGACCCATGGCAGACATCACTGATCCATCATGGTACTCTTTCCTGTCCAGGCTTCATGTTTGCAGACACTGTACTGGACAGGCACTACCAGAAGTGGCATGAGAAGTGAAATCCCCTAACTCTCCTACCCTTAGGTCATGAGAGTTTATTTTATAAAAATGCAGGCAAGTATGAAAGCATAGGGAATAACACAGTGTTTCCAAGACTAGGCTATAGAGCAAGACTCATGGGAAACAAGACCAGTGTTTCACTTCCATTCTGGATCCAGCAGTAGTTCTAGTAACCTTGATTCACCCTGTATCTCCCTCAGAGAGAGAGGGAAAGAGAGAGAATCTGATGACGGAAATAATTTGTCATCAGCCAATATGGCATGACAGTGACTATCCTCAAGATAACTTATAGATGGCTGACTTTTATTATGAAGCCCTCTTTTCAATTACATTTACATTGAATGGCAACTCTTTAATCCAAGGGTCAGCAAACTTTAATGAAAAGGGCCAGAGAATAAAAATTTTCAGCTTTGCAGGCCATGCAGTCTCTGTCACAGTGACTCAGTTCCATTGTTGTAGCACAAAAGTAACCATAGATAATACACAAACCAATGAGTGTTGCTGTGTTCCAATAAAACTTTATTTACCCAAACAGGTGCCTGTGGCCTAAAGTTTCCAACTGTTTTAACCAATCGACTGTGGCCAGGGTAGTGGGATCACAGAATACAATAATGACATCATTATGCAGAAGGAACTGTGTTCTTCTCAGAAGAAGACCACATGCTTCATGCTCTGCAGGTGTTGAGTGTTTAGTGGACTCTCTGGGGTGGCACTGGAGTCAGTAGCTGGGGCTATGCTTGTCAGAAACAGGTTCTAAAAGGTATCTGGTGGTTTTTAGTAAACTAAATTGCATTTAGTTTTGATACTTTTTTTCTGATGTCTTCCTCCTTTTACCATTTCCTTTTTGTGTATGATAGAGATGGGAAATACGTGGCTTGCCCGTTATCATTCCCTATTGCCTCAGTCCTGGCAGACATCACTAATCAATCACAACACTCTTTCTCACTGAGTCCATACATGACTCAGAATCCCTCTTAACCTACAACAGTCACAACCAGTCAGTCACAGGTCGCCCTCAACAGGCAACCAGTTTGCTCTGATAGACAGAAGAAAGTAGAACAGAGGAATGACAAAGAGGTTTGAGAATAGGCAAGTTCAAAATGGAATTAGAACCAAGATTCCCAACACCTTCCTATCCCTGGGCTAAAACCCTGCTTTAACAGATTTACAGTAGACAAACCCTGGGGCAGATTTTTAAAAATTCCTTGTCAAGTTGTTAAACATTTTTCCTGTTTTGGCAGATGTTCTTACTCTGCCACTTTTAAGGGTCTGTGGAAACTGCATTTCAACTACTTCCTGGGGGAGCCTTTGTGTAAAGTCTGGTACATCTTTCTAGTTGAGCTGGGAAGAACATTGCAGCACAGATGTTTGCAACCCCTTACAAAGTTCCAGACCTGGCAATATCTATCCAATGTGCCCCTGTGTCAGGCCCAGAGCCCCAGCGGGCAGCCCCAGTGGGTTTTCTTCCTGCTGTTGGAGCAGCCTTTGCTCCAGGCCCACTGTGTGGAAATGGCACCTGGAGGAACATTGCCTCTAAATGTTTCCCCTCTGGTCACCACCTTCCAACTCGCATGTTAAGAGGAGGAGAAATCAGCTTTTAACACCATCCAGTCACCCTCCTTAAGCACCTGCTTCTGCATTTGATCTAAGAAATTGGGGAAGGTCAGATCTGGGCTTGGAAGGAGTGAGAGGTCTTGTCAACAGGCGATTCCAGCCGTGAGGGAACAGGAGTAATCAGAGGCAAGTCTGAGAGTCTGGGGCAGTCAGAGAGCTCACCTGGAAAATATTTCAGGAGAAGCTGTCGTGGGCATTCTGAGTGCCGACAAGATGTGTCAGGGAAATCCACTGGGTGCTTTTAGGAAGCAGTCATTTTCTCTCGCAGAATCTTGCTGGGCTTTCGCGTTAGGGGTCCAGAGGGAGTTGGCTGGCATTGAAGAATTAGCCAGAAGAATTGGAGCAGCAACTGTGGGAAAATCAGCATGTTTGGGCCTGGAACAAGGTTTTTCTTTTTCTAAACCCTATTTGCTCCCATTCTCCCTTCTCTGACCTCGTTGGTGAATGTAGCAAATGATTTGGCCTCCGTGCCCCCATTTGCAAACTGTGGTACAGTGGGGATGGGCATGGGCTCTGCATCACACTTTTTGGGTTTGAGTCCCAAGCCTACCACTTGCTAGCTGGGTGATGTTTAGCAGGTAACTCCTTCTCTCTATGTTTGTTTTCTCATCAGTAAAATGGTAATAAAAATAGCTCACACCTTGTAGGGTTGTTAGGAGGGTTAGAAGAGCTAATTCAGGTAAAGGATTTGGAACACATGATAAGCACTGGTATTCACTTGGTGTATGTGTTAGACTGTTCTTCCATTTCTATAAAGAAATACCTGAGGCTGGGTAATTTACAAGGAGAGGAGGTTTAATTGGCTCATGGTTCTGTAGGCTGAATGAGAAGCATGACGGCAACATCTGCTCAGCTTCTGGTGAAGGCCTCAGGAAGCTTGCAATCATGGTAGAAGGTGACAGGGAGCCAGCATGTCACACACTGAGCATGGAAGCAAGAAAGAGAGGGAGGTGCATACACTTTTAAACAACCAGATCTTGTGTGAACTCACTCATCACCAAAGAGATGTCATTAGGCCATTCATGAAGGATCCACCCCCATGATCCAAACACCTCCCATCAGGCCCCACTTCCAACGTCGGGGATTATATTTCAACATGAGATTTGGAGGGGACAAATATCCAAACATATCAATATATATATGAAGTCATGTTTGTTGGCATATAATTTACATTCAGTGAAATACAATATGCCCTTTTTCAATGTACAGTTCAATGATTCCTCACGAATATTTATGGGCATGTAACCACCACCACAACCAAGCTATAGAACCCCTCAATCACTCCGAAAGGTTTCTTCTTTCTTCTTCCCCCACCCCAACCCCTGCCAGCCACTGATCTGATTTCTGTCCCTATAGTTTTGACTTGTCCAGAATGTCGTTTAAGGGATTCATTCCATGTGTAGCTTCCTGTGTCTGACCTTTTTCATTGTGCATAGTGCTTTTGAGATTCACCCATGTTGTGTATACAGTAGTTTGCTCCTTTTGATTGCCAAGTAATATTTCACTGTGGTAGTCAGTTCTTGCATTGCCATAGAGAAATACTTGAGACTGGATAATTTATAAAGAAAATAAGTCTAATTGGTTCACAGTTCCACAGGCTGTACATGAAGCATGGTGGTATCTGCTTGGCTTCTGGGGAGGCCTCAGGAAACTTACAATCATGGCAGAAGGCAAAGAGTAAGCCAGCACTTTACATGGCCGGAACAGGAGGAAGAGAGCAAGGGGAGAGGTGCTATATGCCTTTAAACAACCAGATCTCTCAAGAACTTACTCACTATCTTGATGACAGTACCAAGGAGGAAATCCACCCCCGCAATCCAATCATCTCCCATCAGGCTCCACCTCCAACACTGGGGATTACATTTGAACATGAGATTTGGGTGGGGACACAGATCCAAATCATATCAGTATGGTTGTTCCATATTTGGTCTATTTATTCACCTATTGAGAGACATTTAGGCTATTTTCGGTTTTTGGTGATTATGAAGGATGCTGTTGTGAACATTGACATATAAGTCTTCTTGTAGATGTATGTCTCATTTCTTTTGGGTTAATACCTTGGAATAGCATTACTGGGTAACCTAGTAAGAGTATGTTTGCTACAAAAGAAACTGCCAAACTGTGTTTCCAAAGGGCTGTACCATTTTGCATTCTTACTTTCAGTGTATGAAAGTTCTAGTTGTTTCACATCATTGCCAGTATTCCATATTGCCAGTTTCTTTCATTTTCTTTCTCTGGTTTAAAATTTTATCCTTTCTGGTGGATAAGTAGTGCTATTTCATTATGGTTTTAATTCGAATTCCCTAATGATTAATAATGGTGAGCATCTTTTCATGGGCTTAGTTGGCAAATATATCTCTTCTTTGGTGAGCTTTTGGGTTTCTTAGGAGTGAGAACAGAGTTTGCATGAAGCCGCTCACTCTTGTTCTTAATAAGACTGGAGTTCAAGGTAGAGGCCATATATATGTCTTTGGGTTTATTCTGTTTTGAGTGGTGGATGAACCTGTGTAACTGAAGGAAGCTGAGGGTTCAGATTGGTACTGGCTGCAATTGCTTCTGTTTCTTTTTCCCCCTCTCTTGGCTCTGCCTTCTGCTGTATTGGCTTCATTCCTGGACTCCCTACAGCCGCCTCTGGGAGCTACAGGCCATCTTCTAAGGGGGAAAGATGGCAGCAGTGCTCTGGGAATCTCTATCTCCCCAAGCCCAAGGTCAGCACGTGGAACACATGCTTCTCTCCTAGCTTTCTCACTGAGAGGTTTTGTGAGGCTCATTAGGTCAGCTGGCCATCCAAGAACCACTCACTGTGGCTAATATCTAGGTGATATGTCTGCCCCGGGAGCTGGGGTGGGGCCCATGCTGGCTTCAGGGACTAAGGGTGGGGAACAGCTGAATACAATGAATTGTTAGACCTAGTCTTGGGGGACTCCACTCTGGCCTCTTTGGGCTATGTCCCTTCCCACAGGATGGGAAGTCCATGGGGCCTAAGGGAAGACTTTGCTCTGGGTAGTGGAATCCCTGAATTCCATACTTTACTAGTTCCAGGCCTTATTCCAGGCTCTGCATAGACCTCCCTGCATCTGTCCTCCCAGCAGATGCTGAGGCTTCTGGTCCTAGACACGAGGGACAGTTGTTAAGGGGGTGGTGGGATATGGGTGCAGTTTGGATGTAGAAACCAGGAGACCTCTTGAGTGCACTTGAGTCCTGGGGATATGGAAAACTGGGGTGGAAAGAAGCTGCGCTCCTTTCCTGACACTTCATCCCACGGGAAACTCTGGAAGCCTGAGAAATCTAAATTCAAAGCTGTTCCCCTGGCCTCAGCTTCCTTCAAGGAACATAAAGGCTGAGTCAAGGGAGATGCATGCTAGGGGCATCTTATGAACAGAGGTTGCCCACCTTGGGCTTGGAGAGGTGGGGAGAAACCTTGGGACTTTGTGGGACTTAGTTTGTCCTCCTGCCCTGCATGTAACTGGGTCCTCCAAGAATCCCATACCAAGGTAGGACTAAATGTGCAAGCATTTTATTAAGAGAAATACCTATGGGAGGAAATAAAGCGGGAGCCAGCTGCAGAAGGCTGGGTGAGCCATGCAGGTCTGACCCCCAGAGTAAAGGAGAGAGGGAAGGAAGGCAGGGTGGAAGTGTTCTAGACCATGGTGCAGCCTAAGGAGATTCAGCAAAGCCATGGGGGGAGGAAGGTGGATCCTCAAGCCAAAGTCCACCATCCATAAAGTCCCATGTGTATCAGGAACAAACCTGCCTTAGTGTCCCTGCTGTTGTCAGTCACTGGCTAGGGGCAGCCACGGGAAATGCAGCCCCTCCTGAGCAAAACAGTGATGAATGTCATAGTTCAGTGCTGGGGTCCTCAGTCAACTTCACCTCCTGTAGTTAGAGGTCTGCAAGGTGCACCCTCATGGCCTCTACACCTTGAGACCTCACATATTAGGGGTGGACTTGACTTGATCCCTAAGTAAGGAAAGTTACTGGAAAATTGGGAAGTGGATCCTGGGGACAGCAAAGACTCCCAGTGACCCAGGACACTGAAAACAAGCAAAATTGAGATATCCTGGGCCTTAGGAATATTGCTTTGAGCTCCGTACAGCCAGGCAAATCAGGACTATCAGCCACTTTGATAATGGAAACCAGGACTCCCAGTCTCTGGCCTTATCTCTAGTGGTAGTTTGGGAAAGCTCCTACTCTTACTAGCACATGAGTCACCCAGAAATCTTATTAAAATACATCTTCAAATAGCCTGGCATGTTGGCACCTGCCTGTGGTCCTAGCTACATAGGAGGCTGACATGGGAAGATTGCTTGGGCCTGGGAGGTTAAAGCTCCAATGAGCCATGATTGCACCACTGCACTCCAGCCTGAGTGACAGAGTGAGACCCTGTCTCAAACCAAACAAACAAAAGACACTAAAAATGCAGCGTCAGAATTGGCAGGTCTGGGCAGGGAATGAGAGGTGTGGTCCTCAGCCCCCAGCGGATGCTTATGTGGGGGTGCACGGGCCACATCTTGAGCAGTGAGGAGATGGAGCTCTGGCATGAAATGGGTATTTGAGAAAAGGTAGTTCTGATAACCCTCGTGTTTCCCCAGAAGAGGGCTGTGTAGATCTTTTGCTCAGACTCCCACAAACATTTCCAAATGGGGTCATTTCTGCAGAGCTGTTGCCAACTGGGGAACAATGAAGTGACATGAAGCGGTGGCATGAAGAGACGCTAATGGCCGACACGTGCTTCCCTCGGCAGGTGTGGGGAAAGCCAGACCGGCTGAAGGGGAAGCCTCTAATTGGCGAGGGAAGTTGCTGGGCTTAAACAGGATGCAGGGAGAAGGCTCCATCGGGCCTTGGGATTGTGCTTACAGGGAGCACACCAAGAGCAGCAAAGGCCAACTCATAGAATCAGCGATGAATCTTTGTGTTTCAGCAGAAGGAAAGTGGAGCCAGGAAGTGAAGCCTTTCCTGGTCATTGGACTTTCCATTACGGAAGAGCCCCACTGGATGCAGGGAATGCCTCTGAAAAGTCCCGTTGAGCATTCAGTCCCATTTGCACAGCACCTGGCACGGTACTGTTTATGCATCGGATTTTTTTAATGATCTATATTTGTTCACTTAATGGCTGCTGTAACAAATTACGAACAACTTGGTGGCTTAAAACAACAGGAATGTATTCTCTCCTAGTTCAGGGCGTAGGAAGTTTGAAATCGGTAGCACTGGGCTGAAGTCAAGGTGTCGGCAGGGCCGTACTCCCTCGGGAGGCTCCAGGGGAGAATTAGTTCCATGTCTCTTTCAACTCCTGGAGGAAGGTTCTAATTGGCGAGGGACAAACAGACTGAGATACTACCTGTGTGTGGTGCTTAGAGACAGGCTGCTTGGGTTTACATCTCAGCTTTGCCACTTGCCAAAAGTGTGACTTTAGGCAAGTTCCTTTTCCTCTCTGAGACTCAGTTTCTTCATCTGTAAAATGGAATTGATAATCATACCTGGTATCCTCAGCTTGTGTTAGCGTTACTCCAATCTTGGCAGTGGTGGCTTGTAATCTCTCTCTGCTCCATCTTCACAGCACATCCTCCTCAATGTGTGTCACATCTCCCTCTGCCTCCCTATTTTTTTCTTTCCCCTCCCTTTTTTTTTTTTTTTTTTTTTTAGACAGGGTCTTGCTCTGTCTCCCAAGCTGGAGTGTAGCAGCATGATCATGGCTCACTGTGCAGCCTCAACCTCCTGGGCTCAAGTAATCCTCCTGCCTCAGCCTCCCAAGTAGCTGGGACTATAGGTATGTACCACCACACCTGGCTAATTTTTGTATTTTCTATAGAGACAGAGTTTCACCATGTTGCCCAAGCTGGCCTCGAACTCCCAGGCTTAAGGGATCCACCCCCCTCGGCCTCCTAAAGTACTGGGATTACAGGCATGAGCCCCTGCACCTGGCCAGCCTCCCTCTTATAATTCATGTGTTTAGGATCATTCCTAATTCAAGACCCATAACTTCATCCCATTTGCAAACATGTTTTTATTTTTATTTCTATTTTACCATGTGGGGTAAAACATGGTAAAAAATATTTAACATTCACAAGTTCCAGGGATTCAAAAGTGGATATCTTCCGGGGCACTAGTTCTCAGCCTACCACGTTATCTGTCTCCCTCATTAGGATATAAGCCTCTTGGGGGCAGGGATTTTATCTGTCTTGTTCACAGTTATGAACAAGTGCCTATAAGAGTTCCAGACATACATTAGAGGCTTGATAAACATTTGCTAAATGAATAAGTGAATGAATTTCTAAGACAAGAGGAAGGAAGTTTGCTATTGAGAGACACCGGCACAGAATCCTTTTGTGAAGCGTTTTTGATCATCTGAATAACTGCCTTTCATTTATGCTCTTAAAAAAGTGAATCTTCCAGCATCTCAGTGACTCAGTGATGCCCACCTTCCCTACACAGGTTGAGAGGTCATTCTTACCAAGAGCAGCAAAGACCAACTCATAGAATCAGCAATGAATCTTCGTGTTTCAGCAGAGGGAAAATAACCGCCTTTAGCTCACCTCGCAATTGCTGTACCTTTTCATGCCAAAATTTCATTGAAAGTGTCTGAGTGCACACAAACAGACTGAAGCACCGCCTATGTGAGGTGCTTAGAGACAGGTTGCCTGAGTTTACACCTCGGCTTTGCCACTTACCAGCAGTGTGACCTTAGGCAAGTGCCTTTTCCTCTCTGAGGAAATTGTCTCAGGGATAAATGAATGAACCCTTTGGTGATTGGTTGAACCCACAGTTCATCTCAGCCTGGCAGTTTGCCATGATAATGTGTCTTCCAAATGTGCACAGAAATAATGTGGATCCCAGCGCAAGTGAGACCACTGGGCATTAATAACCAATACTTTGAGAATCGTGTGATGTTTAATTTTAATATGTGCATTTGGTCCTTCATAACTGGCTCCTCTTCAGGGTGTGTACTTCAACTCAGACAAGGTGCACACAGGTCTCTTGAAGATGCCATTATAGATGTCTGCAAATAAATGACTGAAATGTAAGACTATCTGGTCTCTCTAAAGTAAAAGGAGGCAGTGCTTGGGGTCCTTGTCTTGCTTTCAGTCTTAATTAGCTCTCTTTTGTCCTTGCCCCAGCTTCAGGAGCTTACCAGTGTTTTGCCTTTGAGCCCTGAGTCCTTGCAAAGGCAGATGGAAGTTCAACTGGATTGAATTGGGGCAGCTCTGCCCACCAGCTTCTTCTCCCGGGCCTTTGGAGATGGATGTTTGGCCAAGACCTTGTCCAACTGGGGCATCTTGGTCCAACAGCCTTTTCTTGGAGGCTCTGGGGGATAAGTGCTTGACTACTAGTCCAAAAGTGGAAATAGGGAAGTGTGACCTTGGCCAAGTTACTGAACTTCTCTGAGCCTCAGTGTTCTCCTCTGCATTGACCTGCTCTGAAATTCAAACAAAACAACGCACCTGAAGCCTCTACAATAGGGTCTGGGACACATTAAGCACTAGAAACAGCGTTCCTCTTCTCTACCTCCTCTTCCTTCTCCTTGCAACCATTTGAGTTGGAAAGACCTGGATTTAAATATCCAATCAGTTATTTATTTTTTAGCTACAGTTTTCTCCTAGGGCAATAATAGCACCTTCCAGTGTTATGAGAAGTTAGACATGTGATCGCTGGAATCAGATAACCAGAGTTCAAATCCTGGTTCCTCCTCCCACCAACTGTGTGTCTTTGGGAACTACTTTCCCCCTCTCTGTGCCTCAGTCACCTCATCCATGAAGTGGGGAGAATACTACTACCTATCCTTTGGTGTTGTGTGAATTAAATAAATTATGCCAAGTGCTTGCAATGGAGCCTGGCATGTGGTCAGTGCTCAATCACGGTGTATTACTGTTGCTTTTTATTATTAATATTGTTAGTCTTCTTTGAGAGATGCGTGCAGAGGATGTGACACCCAGAGAGCTCAATAAAACATATGTAATGTCATCTAAGCAATCTTCTGCAGGTCTGGGCAGGAAGAGTTCACCCCTATTGGGGAATTGAAAGGAATATGGTCTTCATAGGGAAGACCATATGAGCGATTTGGAAAAAATCACAGGACCCTACAGGATGGGTGTCCAGACTCCTAGCTCTAATTGTTGAATCACATTCCATTATCAAGAATTAAATTATAGACTATTAGGATTAGAGGGATACTGAAGTGTCACCTAGTCTACGATTTTCCAATCACTCAGCCTTTCACTCATTCATTGAATGTATATGTTTAAAACACATACTCTGTGCCAGCCGCTGTTCTAGGAGATAGAAGTGAATACAACAGGCAAGGTCCCCAACCTCATGGAGCTGACATCCTGGTGGAAAGAAGTCATCAACAGATGCATAAATAATATGCTCGTGATATGGACTAGGCAGAAAAGTAAAGCAGGGAAGGGGGTAAAACTGCGTGAGGCTGGAAATGGAGTAGAGAATAGGGTGGTCAGACATGGCCTCCCTGCTAAGTTGACATTGGAACAGACACTCAAAGGAAGTGAAAAAGTGAGCCATGCACGTTGCCTGGGGGAAGAGCATCTGAGCAGAGGGAATGGCATTGCAAAGCCCCAGAGTGGTCAGGTAGAGAGTGTGTTTAAGGAGCAGTGAGGAAGCCCATGGGCTCAGAAGGATGAACAGAAGGTAAGTATAGGTCAGAGAGTTAGGGAGACACGGTGACCAGAGCATATGGGGCCCTGTGGCCATCGTAAGAATTTGGCTTTTACTCTGAGTGAGATGGGAGCCATGGGAGGGTTTTGAGCAAAGAAGGGGTGTGATCTAACTATTGCTTCTTAATATTTAACACAATCACCCTGCCAGCCTTGCTAATAACAGGCTGAAAGGGGACAAGGGCAGGAGCGAAAATCCAAGGTAAGAGGCTACAGCTATCTTCAATGATTCTAAAGATGGGGCAGGTACTACCGGGTTACCTGAGATAGGATTTGATGAGCTGAGGACCAGAATTAAATACTCTGTATCACGTAGAGATTATCCTCTTTTCAACTTTCCTTCAATCTATCCGGTTGGACTAAAAAGAAAGTTTCCCCATCTTGGAGTATGTCTTTAACATTTTCCCCTTTCAACTTTCCTTCAATCTATCCGGTTGGACTAAAAAGAAAGTTTCCCCATCTTGGAGTATGTCTTTAACATTTTCCCCATTGCTGCTAATCTTTCTTTTTAATAAAATGAGAACAGCCACAGGTGAAACACCTTAAGTGGGCAACTGTATCCAGCTAGAATTTAATAATGCACTTGCTTTCATTACATTTATTTTTAACAGCTTTATTGAAATTCACATAGCATACAACTCACCCGCATAAGGTGTATAATCCAGTGGTTTTTAGTATATTCACAGAGCTGTACATCTATCACCACAATTGATTTTAGAATATTTTCACCATCCTTAAAAGAAATCCGATGCCTCTCTGCCATCACCCCCACTGCCCCCATCTCCTCCAACCCTGGGCAAGCACTAATCTACTATCTACTTTCCTTCTGTGTCTGTAGGTTTCCCATTCTGGACATTTCACATGAATGGAATAATACAAGGCTTCTTTCACTTAGCATCATTTTTTCAAGGTTAATCCATGTTGGGGCATGTGTCCATGCCTCAGTCCATTTTATGGTGAAATCATATCCCATTGCGTGAATAAACCACGTTCTGTTTATTCAGCTAATGACATTTGGCTTTCTACTTTTTTTTTGCTATTATGAATAATGCTGCTATGACCATTTGTATACAATTAATTTGGGTGTGTGAATGTATGTTTTTATTTATCTTGGGGTATATGCTAGGAGAGGAATTGCTGGGTCATCACCATTTGAGAAACTGACAGTTTTCCATAGTGGCTGTACCATTTTCCATTCTCACCAGTGGTAGAGGAGGTCTCCAACTTTTCCACATTCTCCCTAAACTTTTTATTTGTCTTTTTGATCACAGCCCTCTTAATGGATATGAAATGTTCTTCCCTTGTGGTTTTGGTTCGCATTTTCCTAATGGCCGAGCATCTTTTCATGTGATTATTGGCCATTTGTATAATCTCTTCGGAAAGATATCTATTCAGGTCCTTTGCCTTTTTTTTTTTTTTTTTTTTTTTTTTTGAGACGGAGTCTCACTCTGTTGCCAGGCTGGAGTGCAGTGGTGCGATCTCGGCTCACTGCAAGCTCCACCTCCCAGGTTCACGCCATTCTCCTGCCTCAGCTTCCCAAGTAACTGGGACTACAGTTGCCCGCCACCACGCCTGGCTAATTTTTTTTGTATTTTTAGTAGAGATGGGGTTTCACCGTGTTAGCCAGCTTGGTCTCGATCTCCTGACCTCATGATCTGTCTGCCTCGGCCTCCCAAAGTGCTGGGATTACAGGCTTGAGCCATCGCGCCCGGCCTGCCCGTTTTTTAAATTGGGGTCTTTGTCCTTTGTATTATTGAGTTAGTTGTAAGAGATCTCTATATCTTCTGATACAATTCCCTCATCAGATGCATGATTTGCAAATAATTTCTCCCATTCTATGCATTGTCTTGTCACTTTTTTGACTTGCTGCTTTTTTTGTAGTTACTTTTTTGACAAGTGATACTGGTTTTCCAGTAAGAACTATGTTGTGAATTTCACCTTTAAATGAATTTACCTAAAAAATGTGAAGCGGTGGCTGACGCCTTTTATTTTACACATGGGAAGACTGGGGGCCCTGAGAAACCCGAGGCAGATGTGGGGCTACCAATTGGATGCCCCGATCACCAGCCCCTGCCTCTTTGCACCACCCTAAGCTTTGTTGGGGGAGGACACATGCCAGCATTCTATCCCATCGATTGTGTGTGCTTGCTGAGTGAACAGGAAGGAGGCATCTTGTCTGTACGTTATAGCGGTTGCCTGTGGGCAGGGTAGCTTTTCACAGTGCAGAGCAGCGTGATAGGGTGTCTATCTGCAAGCTGAGTGTGTGGGCATGTTACAGAGGCCACTGTGTGTGTGTGGGGGGGTGGTATGTGCCAGGGCACCTACACTCAGATGTAAACGTGAGCTCATGGGCACACGTGCATTCCATGTGAGCACTCAGCCAGAGTGCGTGGGAATTAGGAACATGTTCCAGCTTTGCAGACTGAGCACAAGAAATAGAACATGGGATGTGTGTGTGCTCATACTCAGTACAGGCTGACCTTGCTTTTGACCTTGAGCTTCTCTGCATTCAGTCTTCTCATCTATAAAGCAAAAGAGAGCTGGGCTAGAACAACTCTCCCCACCCCTCTTTTTAACTGCAAGTTTAGTTCAAATGGAAGCTGTGTATCAGTATTCTACCAGGAAAACTACCATCAGGTACAGTGAATAAGAGGGAGACTCTGGAGTTAGACCAGGGTTCAGCAGACTTTTTCTATTAAGTGCAAGATAGCAAACACGTTTGGCTTTGTGAACCATCTAGTCTCTGTCACTATTCTTCAACCCTGCCCTTGTAGCATAAGCAGAGGCAGACAATATATACATGAATGGACCGGGGCTGTTTTCTAATAAAGTTTTATTTACAAAAACAGGTGATTGGTCATATTTGGACCCTGGGCCATCATCTGCTGACTCTGTGTTAGAGAGTCTGAGTTCATATCTCACCTCTGTCACTTTCTAGCTGTGTGATCTTGGGCAAGTTACTTAACCTTTCTGAGCCTCAGTTTCCTCATCTGTAAAATGGAGATGATTATCCTACCTCTTTCATGAGTTGTGGTGAGGACTAGAGAAGGTATTTCATAGAAAAGTCCCTAGCATGTAGTAAACATTCAATTAATGTTAGCTACTATAGTGACATTCTTATGTATGTGCATGTGTGTGCCCATGTGTGTTCACTCTGTGGGTGTGCTCGGCAGGCATGCACGGGTTTAGCACACATTGCCAGCATGGGTGATCATGGAGATGTGCACACGGTGCATGCAGTATGCCTATTGGTGCAGAGTAGATACCTATATGGGATGTGTACTCGTGCTGGTTATGAGCTGAACAAGTGTGGGAGTCCAGACTTGAGAACACAGAGTCTGTGGGTGTGTGGAAAGCTTGTATTTGGATAGGAAGCTGAATGAAAGGAAGACAGTGGAGGGGGAAAGGTCAGACCGAGCCTTAAATAATGAGAGAAAGACAGAGAAAAAACCTGGACTTTGAAAAATTAAAATACAGGGCAGAGGAGATAAGTTTGACCAAGACTTAGCAGGAAGATGTGAGCAGGGAGGAGCCTGGGGCCCCTGGGGGCTCTAAATGGGGTAGGTCTGGAGGGTTCCCAGCCTAGGCTGGGCCAGAGGATGAGGCATCCATGGCTTCTTCCCGTGGAGAAGGAGGTGCCCATTCAGCCTGTCCTTCCTCTGGGTAATCCAGAGCCCTGAGATCAGATCCTGTAGTTTGAAAATGGAGAGGCCCTGAGCATAAAAGAGTACAATGAGAAACGAACACGGGAACATGCACACCTCCAAGATCCACCCAGAATTTGAGAAGGTTAAATGCCAGCCACAGAGACCTGAATTCCTATGCAGATTTCATCACGGGCTGCCTATTTGATTTCTCTGTCTTTCCCTTTCAATAGCCCCATCTCCAAACGGGAGACAGTAACCATTTTAAAAAGCTAACAGCTACTGTTTCCTTCTAATGTATCTTACAATGTATCCATCAGATCCCTGGGCTTCATCTATGTGAATCCATTTAATCTTCACAACAGCCCTAGAAGGCTGGTGCTACTATTATGCTCATTTGGCAGGAGAGGACACTGAGGCACAGACTGATTAAGTGACGCAGCTGGGATACCAACTCAGGCAGGAGCACGCTAGGGGCCTACATCTTCACCATTTGATCCTTAACAAATAATTGCACAAACTGCCTTTCAGCAGTGGCCATATATCCTACAAAAGAAATGTGCAAGGCGAGTGTGGTGGTGGGCACCTGTAATCCCAGCTACTCAGGAGGCTGAGGCAGGAGAATCACTTGAACCCGGGAGGCAGAGGTTGCAGTGAGAGCCAAGATTGCGCCATTGCACTCCAGCTTGGGTGACAGAGCGAGACTCCATCTCAAAGAAAAAAAAAAAAGGAAAAAGAAAAAGAAAAGAAATGCACACAGCGATCCAGTCTTTGGGGTTGGGAATGGGTAGGCAGGGATGCTGGGACTGAGTGCTTTCTGTTAGACACTAATTCCTGGGTGCTTTTGGTTGCAAAAATTCCATTTCTCATGTGGAAAAATTGAGGTCTGGTGGTAAGTTGTAGGGTGTGGCTCTCTTGCTGCATCACTTATCTGGCCTTGAGTTTTGGAAGGCTGCCCTTCGATAAATGGTCAGAAGGGACCAATCATGGCCTACTTGGGTGCCTACCTTGCTGGCATGAAGAAGCCTTCTTGAGCCAAGATTTAATTAATTTTAGGAATGCAGCCAGAGGAAAGGAAATTTGTGTTTGTACCAGGAAACCATGCAGAGGTGACCACAGCCTCTCTTCACTGAGCCAATCCGTGGTAGCTGGGGGACATGACAGCCCGTTCATTTCACTGTCTTCTGGCTCTCTGTGTTTCCTTGTGAGTGTTCAAACATGTGGCATCTGCAGGGAGTGACAGGTGCAGCGGTCAGGGTAATGCATTTTGTAGATCCTGTACCATGGGAGAGCCAGGCAGCTGCTCTGAAATCCAAGGCTGCATTTATAGGGAGACCATGCTTCTCACTATGGCTCCCAGCTGCAGGAAGTCTTAGACAGGTGCATTTGTGGGAGACCTGGGACTGCTCTGATGGCCGACTCGGGCTGGAGAACTCCATGACAATCTTTCGGAAGCTTCCTTAGATGACGTGGGAGCCTAGCACTCTGCTATTCAGCTTCCCTTCTCTTTCCCTTTCACTCAAGGGTGGACTTATTTGTAGGCTGACAGCTCTCCCAACCTTTCCAGCTCCTCCCCAGTTTTCCCTCACATATCTTTCCACTAAAAATGTCCTTGTAAGTTTCATATCTTTTTGGCAACTACATCTTGGAGGACCAAAGCTAACACAGCTGACAAATATCCACAATGTGCTGGATGGAGATTGTTTTCTGTCTGCCCCAAATTCACTGAGAAGCAAAAAGAAGCTTTGACTGATTTCCCCAAAAGGCTACACTTACTCCTGCAGCAAAAGCAGATGATAAAGGCATCATTTGTCAGGATGATGCCTGTCAATACAGTTCATGAGGAGTTTATCCAAAAGAGATTTTTAAAAACTCAGGTGCTTTCTTTTGCGGTATTCTTACATCAGGCTTGGGTTCGTATACTGGCTGTGGCCCTTACAAACTGGGCAAGTAACTTTGGCAAATCATTTACTATGCTACGTCTCAGTTTCTTCATCTGCATAACAGGGCTGGTACAAAATCTTGCTTCAAAAGGTGGCTGAGAAGAGTTGATGACACAGCTCATGGGAAGTATTGCAGAGTTCCTGGCATGTACTAGGTGCTCAATAAATGTTAGCTCTTCCTATTGGTGCAATGACTACTATTACTCACTTTTGTTATTTTATTCTCTCATCCAAATGGCCCATTCGGAGGAGAGATTCTCATCTCCATTTTACAGATGAGAGACTGAGGGTCTGGAGAGTTGAAGACATGCTCACAGGCACCAGGAAAGAATATAATAATATCTAGGTGTGGAGATATATGAGACTGGACATCCCATTCTTGAAGACCTTTCAACCTCCCTATTATTTCCTACATGCCACACTCCCCTCGACCCACAAAAGATACTCCAATGTTGCTGACGTTCTATCTACAAATTCTAGCTGAGTCAACTTTCAGTTTTCTTTTACAGTTTCTCTTGGGGAGGGCCATGAATTACTGGGTTGGTGCAAAGTAATTGCAATTTTGGCCTTAAAAAGTAATGGTAAAAACTGGAATTACTTCTGCACTTAATAAATGTATTTCCCTCTATCCTTCCTAAGGACAGGCACACTCCTGTTGACCTCCAACTCTCCAGCGGAGCAGAGACCTGGGCACCCTGGCTGGCTCAGCGAAAGAGCTGGCCCATGAAGGAATCCCTTCAAAACCGAGCTTAAGTCCTCTTTCCGGAAAGATGTAGTTGGAGTCTTTTGCCCACCCATTGCACAGACTAGCAGAAAGTCCCATGCTGGCAGAAACGTGGCCGTCCACCACTGAGTATCTCCAGAGTAAGAATGACATGCCGAATGGCTCCGTGGCCACTTTTTACATTAGGCCACCAATAGCAGCTCCTGGAAACTGATTCTAGGATATGTTAGTCCCATATTCCCTAGCCAGAGTGCATGCTTCCCAAGGGCAAGAGGTATTTTGCTGCTGTTCACTTGTCTCCTTATGTGGTCAGGTACACACGGGGTATGTGGCACCCGCCTAGTTGCTACTGAGGCTGGAGGCCAGTGGTAAGGTAACTGGGTAACAGTTTTTGGGGGTTCGGGAGAGGGAGCCTGCGGGAGGTGGGTGGGGAAGCCTGCGTTTCCAGCAGATGCCTGCGTCAGGCCTGCCAACTCCTTCAGCTCCTCCAGATTCCAGCTTCAACTTGACAAGGGCTTTCTCCTAGGCCTCTGGCCTCCACCTGGGATTAGCTTCTAAGCAATCAGAAAGCACTTAAAGATATAAAACACCGTGTAAAGATGTAAATAATTCCCAGTAATTTCACAGAGAATTAACTCTTTCCTAAGGCCGTTGGACCTTCCCTGCCCAGGTTGCCTGGCTTAGAACTGAGTAATCATGATGTCAGCGTGTGTTAGATGAGAGAATAACCTGGAGAAGGTCCTGGTCCCAGAGCCGCATTGAAAAGACAAGGGAGACTGCGGCACGGGGAAGAGGAGGGGCTTGTTGAAACATATACTCCTGAACCAATACTGAAGTTAAAGCCAAAACCAAAACTTGGGCCTGGGAAGGCTTCTGCTTTCTGTTTGAAAGTTTCTTGCTTTGAGTAAGATGTCCAAAGCAGTGTGGGTTGCGTAATACGGCAGAGCCCAGGCTCCTGAGTGGGAAACCCCTGTTTCTGCAACTTACCAGCTGAAGATCTTAGAGAAATACTTTGCTCTTATAAGACTCAGTGTTCACATCTATGAAATGGGCTGAGATGTCAATGGAGTCAAACTTACAAAATATGTTTATGTAAGGATTAAATGAAACAGTGTTCATAAAGAGCTGAGCACATCTTAAATGCCCAATTACATAAGCAATCAATAGCTATTATGGCTATTATCATCCTCTCCCACACCTCCCCATATTGGTACCTCCTGCTGCCTTCTCCAGTTGGATGGATGTTAATCTATCTTTCTGGTTGCTCAGACCCCAAACCTTGGGAGTCATCTTTGGCATCTCTCTCTTACACTGCACTGTCGACCTATTGGCTATACCATAAAATAGATCCAGAATCTACCCTCTCCCCACTTGAGTGTTGTTCCCTGTTTCCACCCTGTTCTCCCCTGGGTTACTTCATAGAGCAGGGATCAGTAACCTCTAGCCCCTGGGAAAAATCTAGCTTGCTGCCCTTTTGTTGCACAGCCATACATTAAGAATGGCTTTTACATTTTTCAATGGTTGGGAAAAAAGCAAAAGAAAAATGATATTTCATGACACAGAACAATTATATGAAACCCCAATTTCAGCATCCATGAAGTTTCATTTGGATGCAGCCCTGCCCATTCATTCACACACTGAATATGGCTGACTTGGTGTTATAGTAACAGTACCGGGCATTTGTGACAGAGATCATATCGTTCACAAAGCCTAAAATATTTACTATGTGGCCCTTTCCAGAAAATGTTTGCCAACCCCTGTTTTAGATGCTTCGTGGGCTTCCCTGTGTCCATGTTTATTGCCCCACCTCTGGCCCCTACATAGCTTTCAGAGTCATCATTTAAACGAGGAGGTATGAGGCCAGGTGTAGCGGCTTGCACCTGTAATCCAAGCACTTTGGGAGGCTGAGGTGGGAGGATTGCTTAAGCCCAGAAATTTGAGACGAGCCTGGGCAACATAGCAAGACCCCGTTTCTACAAAAATGTCAAAAATTAGCCAGGCAAGGTGGAGCACACCTGTAGTTCCGGCTATTTAGAAGACTGAAGCGGGAGGACTGCTTGAGCCTGGGAGGTCGAGGTTGCAGTGAGCCATGATCGTGCTACTGCACTCTAACCTGGGCACCACAGTGAGACCCTGTCTCTAAAAATAAAAATAAAAATAAAAATAACTGATCATTCATTCCTTTGCTCATAGCTCTCCAGTGGCTCCTGAGTGACTCAGAATAAAGGCCAACATCTTCACAATGGTCATCGAGGCCCTATGCAATCCACTCCCCAGTTCTCTTATTTCTTGGGGTCTCCTTTACCTTCTGGTCTCCTCCTTGCTTACATTGCTCCAGCCACACTGGCCTCTTTGCCACTTTTTAAACATGGCAAATAGATCTCTGCCACAGGGCCTTTGCACTGGCTGTTTCCTGACCGACAAGGCTCTTTTCCCAGAAGAAGAGGGCACATTCTCTCACCTCCTTCAAACCTCTACTCCAATCTCAATGAGACATATTCCAATTACTCAGCTTAATCCTGTACCTTGCCCCACTCCCTTTGGACCTCCTGACCCCTCTTACTCTGTTCTACTTTTTTCATTTTCCTATAGCATCCATCACCTTTTAAAGACCTAGCTAATCTCCTAATCTGTTCTGTTGATCACTTACCGACTGTCTTCTTCCATTAAGGTGGGAAGTCCTCACTGGCAGATGTTTTTGTTCAGATTTGTTCATTTCTCTACCCCAAAGCCCCAGATAGATCCACCTTCCAAATGCATGACCTGTGTGGTCACACAGGACCCCTGTGCTAAGAAGGACGCCTGCCTAGAAGGACCCTGTACTTGGCTCAGTGCTCTCTGTTGCCACCACTTTGAACTACTAAATAAGTTTTGGGCAGTGAGTCTCACGGTTTCATTTTGCATTGAGCCCTGCCAATGACGAAGCCGGTCCTGACTATAGAAACAGGTCAGGCACACAGTAGACACTCCGTGAGTATTTGTTGACTGAATGAATGATTCATATCATGATTTAGCTCCATGACTTTCTTCCTGCCTCTCTGGGCGCCGTAGCCGCCTCTCCCCCTCCGTCCCTCCCCCACCCTTCCCTTTTGAAAGAGTGTATACTGATGTAAGCGGACAAGGAGAGGAGTCAGTCCGGGGATCAGGGAGCCGGGAGAAGATCGCCTGCAGCAACGGAGAAGACACAATTACTCCAGCAACTGCCCACCGACCGCAGCTCGGAGCCTCCACTTAATGTAATTGAGTGTGAAGGCCGGCTGGAGACACAGGCGCCCCTGCTGCCCCCTCTCCATAATATAGACACTATTGGTTGCTAATTGGCGCCAGTAGGCTGGTGCTAATTGTCCTAATGCACTCTGCTTGATGGAGGACGAGGCTGCGCAGGACAGAGGCGGGGGCTCCTTGGGAAATGGTGGGGGTGGTGGGCGCCCAGCGCCAGCAGACACTGGTACAGTGTTCACAAAAGTTGGAACAGGCTTTAATTTTGCATCAAGTATTTAAGCGGGTTTGGGCTGGATATTGAGGGGGAGGTGGATCGTGGAGCTTTGCTTGCGGTAACCCGCAAGGGGACTGGGGAATAGGCCCCCTGCCATCCTTATCAATGGGTTATCCAGACGGCTGTGTCCCCAGCATTGTCTAATTAATTGTGTGAATTTCTAATAGCCCTTTTAGCCCCCTGGCTCCTCCCCCAAGCCCCCAACCCCCGCCTCCTCCATTCGAGCTGCTCCCTCTTGTTCTGCTTGTTTCTGAACACTGTGCTTCAGTGATGAGACTTGACATCAGCCACAGAGGGAGGCAGCATTGAGCAGAGGGAAATGCAGGGAAGCTGGGGATGGCCTTGAACTCATCACGTGGTCTCAAGAAACTCACCTGTCTCTTCTGGGTCTCAGTTTCCCCAGCAAGTGACCGTTGGGCTAGTGAGTGTTAAAATACTGCATATCCTCCAACTGTGGCACCCAAGATCTTCTTAGAGACTGTAGAAATATGCACATATATTTGAATATATAGTTAAATATATTGCTATGTTTAAATATATGCATATATTCAAATGTATGCATATATTTAAATTTGCAGCCAGGCTTGGTCTGCAGCTAATCTTGTTCTGCTTACTCTGAAATATATGTATATTACTACATTATCCTAACACATACTGTATTTTTACTAACGACGCAAAGGTGCAGTGTGCTGGTAAATGCTTAACAATTAGCTCTCCAGGGGAAAACATCGTGAACTATAGCAATTGCTAAGTTCCATGGTGTAAATATTGCCACCATAGTAGATGTCAGGCTGCCACTGTGATGTCACAAAAGGCAGAGTTTGGAAGAAATGTGGATTAGCAAATTATTATATAGTATTTCCACCACACAAACACAATAGATGAAAATAACCTCAAGTGTAGTGATAATAGAATAATATAAAATAATCAGGAAGCAGTGAGTTTTAAGTATTTATCATTTTTTCTTTGGAATAACTTAATTGTAAGTTCATATAATTTAATTTTTCATGATGGCTGCAGTTAATAAACAGCTACCAAAAGTTCTGAAAACTTGACAGTGGCTTTCCTGTGCCTGTACAGGCCAGACCCAGCACCTCATTGTGTGTGCGTGTGTGTGTGTATGTGTGTGTGTGTGTGTGTGTGTGTGTGTGTGTGTGTGTAGCACAGTACCCATGAATGCCATGATTTCTCAGAGGGAGTGCATAGAACAAAACTCAGTTTAAAAAGAATTCAACTTAAAATCAATACAAAGATGAATATTGAATAGAAAATGGCGTAGGTGATTTGTACATATAGTAAATATCATGAAGTTGTTACTCAAAAGACTAGATAGTTGACCTTTGAAAAACATGGATTTGAACATCATGGGTCCATTTATACACTGATTATTTTCAATAAGTATATTGAAAAACATTTTGGAAACTTGTTGCAACTTGAAAAAACTCACGGAAAAATTGCATAGCCTAAGTATCAAAGAAATTAAGAAAAAGTTAGATATGTTAACAATGCATACAATATATGTAGATACTAGTCTCTTTTATCATTTACTACCATAAAATATAAATGTTTATTACAAAAAGTTAAAATTTATCAAAACTTATGCAAACAAAAAGAACATACAAGGTGCCATTCACAGTCAAGAGAAATATAAACAAAGATAAAGATACAGTATTAAGTCATAACTGCATAAAATTAACTGTAGCCCATACTTTGCTACTGGGATAATTTTGTAGCCACCTCTGTTGCTATTGCAATGAGCTCAAGTGTTGTAAGTATCCACCTAAAATGCTATGCAACACTAATCATCATCTCCAAGTGAGCAGTGCCTCTCTCCAGTAAATTGCAGATTGCAATAAAAAGTGATCTCTCCCGGTTCTCACGTATTTTTCCTTATGTTTAGTGCAATACCATAAACCTTGACAAACACAGCGGGACCCATATGAAGTGCCACTAGTGATGCTGGAAGTGCTCATAAGAAGCAGAGGAAGGTCATGACGTTACAAGAAAAAGCTGAATTGCTTGTTATGTATCTTAGATTGCGGTCTGCCGCTGCAATTGCCCGCCATTTCAGACAGACAATTCATCTTATAAACAGATGACATAAACTTATGGTAATGATGAATACAGTACAGTGCTCTAAATGTATTTTCTCTTCCTTATGATTTTCTTTCCCTTTTTCTTTTTTTGAGGCATGGTCTTGCTCTGTCACCCAGGTTGGAGCACAGTGGTGAGATCATGGCTCACTGCAGTATAGCTCAAGCTATACTCCCATCTCAGCCTCCAAAGTAGCTGGGACCACAGGCATGCACCGCTGCACTCGGCTAATTTTTTACATTTTCTTTGTAGAGACCGAGGTCTCACTATGTTGTCCACGCTGGTCTCAAACTCCTAGCCTCAAGTGACCCTCCCATCTTGGCCTGTCAAAGTGCTGGGATTACAGGCATGAGCCACCACGTCTGGCCCCTTTATGATTTTTTAAAATAACATTTTCTTTTCTCTAGCTTACTTGATTGTAAGAATACAGTATATAATACATATAACATACAAAATATGTGTTAACAAAACCAGCTGTTTCTGTTCTCAGTAAGGCTTCTGGTCAACAGTAGGCTATTAGTCATTAAGTTTTGGGGGAGTTAAAAGTTATATGCAGTGTTTAGTGTCAGCACCCCAACCTCACATGTTGTTCAAGGGTTAACTGTAATTTGGAAGGAGGCTTGCAGGCTTCCTCTGGGTGTCTGCAACACATGTTGCTAGCAAATGAGCAAGAGTGGGAGTGGTTACGGTGGCCAGGGTTCACCTTGCTTGCTAGAAGGCATGAAATGGCCATTTCTCACCCTTTTCTTTTACTGATGATTTTGTTCTTTTTCTCCCTCTTCCCAACCCAAGGCACCTACTTGGAGTCAGAATCTCCATCTTTCTTCTCATATTTCTGTCCCTTCCACTGGCTCTTCAACCTTTCTCTGGACTTGTTTGCATTGCTGGTGATGCCAGTGGCCCATTACCATGTGCTACCTACCATATGCTTTGGGGAGAAAGAGTGAGGTGGGAAAGATCCTCTGGGGTTGTGAGGGAGACTTGACTTGAATTAGGACCAGCTTACACAAGGTGTAGGGAAATCATGGATGTTTTACATCCAAGACACCATTAGAAAAAAAAAAAAAACTACATTCATAATAGAATTTATGAAAATATTTATATTCCCAATAGATTGTATTTTATACAATGGTTCCAGAACACTGCATGTATTTTTAAGATGTATTAATATAATCCATAGTTTTCATTGGAAAATGAATACAAACATTTATCAATTTCAAGTCTCAGGGCCCATGGAAAGTCATACACTTCTATAATGACATGTAGGCCTTTAGAATTATTTTGAAATCTTGTTTTCTGATAGTCTTTGAATAAATTGGCTTTGACTAAGAAAAAGTAGAGATTCAGCAAAATACTGGTCTTATTACAACCTAAAACTGGGGACTATTAAGAGTAGGTAGTAGATTTTCCGTATGTAACAGTGGGTCTATTTGTGGATTTTTGGGCTTCTGGCAGAAGTAATTCAGAGGAAAATATTGCTAATTTTATTTTTTTAACTTTTATTTTAGTTTCAGGGGAAGATGTGTAGGTTTGCTCTACACATAAATTGTGTGTTGGGGGTGGGTGGGTGTACAGATTATTTTGTCACTCATGTAATAAGCACAGTACCTAGTAGGTAGTTTTTTAATCATCACCCTCCTCCTCCTCTCCACTCTCAAGTAGCCCCGGTGAGTGTCTGTTGTACCCTTTTTTTCCAAGACACCATTTTTCTCTCCACAAATTGTCTCAATGTGCTTTCCCCTAGATTTGTCCCATGATGCTGTCATTCTTGCTTTTCAGTTCTAAATATGGACTAGGGGCTTGCAAACTCGAATGCCCCCAGAGGGCAGACAGGGATTGTAAATACAGGAAGGCAAGCCAGCTGGGGCAAGACAAACTGAGGAGTCTATACCCCTCTACAGGGGTCGATTTGTCAGTACTGCACCAGCCTCCTGCTCTGTGGGTGGCCAGAACTCTTCATAGAAGCTGGAAGTGATGATTTGAACATGAACATTCTTAAAGTCACATGGGAGCCAAACACAGCCCAATATGGCCTGTGAAAATCTTAGACAACTCGGAAAATATAAAGAAGAAAATGAAACAATTCATTTTTTCTAAAACAATTCATGAAGTCCTGAGCCACACTGAAGAAGTCAGAGTCCCCTCAGGCCACCATATTGGAAATACTATGTCAAGAGACCAGGGCTTCAGGCGGTTCCAGCCCTTAGTTTTGTGGGTCACCCCATCTGAGGACCAAGTTACTGAGAACCAGAAGGAGGCATTCCCATACAACCCTGCACACATGGAAGATTCGTTTCAAAATATTTATAATTTTTACTGTTTTAAGTCAGTAAGTTTGAGGATTTTTTTTTTTTTAGTATAGCAAGAGATAACCAGAACATGGACTCAGCACGTCCATGATATCAGCAATTCAATTGTTTCTGCTTCTTAACTCTTAAGCATAATATTACAATGAACATTGTTGTATATTCACCCTTGCCTCTCTTTCAGATTATTTTCTTAGCTACAAAATTGTTGGATCTATAGGAGTCTGGATATTGTTGAGGCTTATGATAACTATTCTGGCAAATCGCTCTCTCAGAAATTGAACAAATCTATTTATAATAATTACTCTCCCACATTACTCTCGCTAAAAGTTGAATCAATTTATACTCTCACCAGCAGTGAATGAGAGTCCACCCCTTTGGGCACTTTGACGTATGTATTTTTAGTTACGTGAGCGTGGCTGGTTCTGAGTTGTCGAGGGAAGAAGAGGAATTGGAGGAGGGAGCCTTAAGTACCCTGGTCTTCTGACTGGACAAATGTGAAGGGAGGATGAAAATTCATTCCTAGTTGAGAGTTTGCAGTCTTGAAAGCTGAACTGCAGTTTTGCTCTTTACTGAAGCCATAAAAAGGATTTGCTGAGTCAATGTCTTCCATAAACAAGAGCTCAGTGCCTGACCCTGGTGAATATCCCTTGCCTTAATTCATAAATTCAGGTGTATTCTCATGGTATCTTTCTTTGTTGTTGTAATAATCATACAGAAATGACATAAAACACAGCCATTGGCCTCTCCAGGGTATGTGATGACATGCGGGCTTGGCGAATGTTGCTGTAATTATAAGCCAGGATTTGAGTGGTACAGCCTGAGACAGAAGTGACCCAGACTAGCTGGGGCCAGGAATCTGTGGGGCAACAAAAGCTGCACAGCAAAGGAAGTGACCTAGAAAAGAAATAACAACAGAAAAGGTATGAGAGAAAGATAAGGGAAGGTCCTGTATCCCTCACAAGCAGAAGAATCCGTTCACAAGTTGAGCCTGGAGAGAAAATAATTTTCATCGGCTCCTAGCACCTGTTTATACCGTTACGACAACTAGATTTGCTTCTTCTTGTTGCTGTTATTACCATTATAGTGTAAAGGCTAGAAATACCACTTATTTAGCACTTATACCAAGCACAGCATCCAGTTCAGCACTATCTCACTAAATCCTTTGAAGTGTCTATGAGAAAGACTGTATACTTGTGCCCACTTGACACATGAGGAAACTGAGCCTCCGAGAGGTAAATTGACTTGTCCAAGTGTTACAGTCCGTTTCCCAGCCCTGGAGGCAGCGGGATGATGTTGGTGGCAGGGAGAGGTTTTCTTCCTTTCTCATTGCTTTCTCTCATTTTTCATTTTCTTTCCTCATTTTGCTTCTACGTGAAAGGGAATATTTGTTAACACTGAGAGGAGATATAAATTCTGCTAGCAAAATTGCACCTCAAAATTCCTCAGTACGGTGGATGCAGGACTGGCTACATAATTTGTGGTACTCAGTGCAAAATGAAAATGCAGAGTCCCTGCTCAAAAAGCAGGGAAAAGGGCTATTGAAGTTACAAAAATATAAAGCCACTTCCTTTCTTCTGTGGTCTTTCTCTTGACTTATCATGGTATTCTAGGGAAATGCATTCTATCTAAAGAAAAAAAAGTTACATTATTAGAATAATTTTTTTTAGAATTCATATTTTGATTCTGCAAAGCCAGTTTTAAATGCAGATACCAGAGCACCTGGCATTTCACTCTGATGCAGAATCACCAAAATTGCCCAATTTGTGCATTGTAGCTTCTTCCAGGAGAGTGCCTGAAGCTGGCCAGAAGAGTTCAACATAAGCCAGACTTGGGAAGGTTGGAAGGAGGAACAGAGGGTCATACTAGGGACAGAGCCAGTTCAAGGGCATGCTTCTCAGGCATGGTATTCTTAGGTCGGTACATGCTCTCCCAGGCATCCAGGAACCCTACCCTGCCATGCAGGGTGTGCACAAGCTCATTCAGGTCTGATGGCTGCTAGGTCCTCCTGCCATCCTCTCTTCCCTCCTGCCATCCTTGCTTTCCATTAGCCCCAACTCATGATGGAAGGGTAACCCTCAAGGGTACTGCAACTTCTGCACCAGGATGTGCTAGATACCTGAATCAGTGTAAACGAGAGGCTTGTCCCTATTGAATTGCAGCCTCTGGCCAGTCTCCAGCTGGGCAGAGGGTGGTACTGCCAGCCCAGAGTGAGATGGCAGTCACCATGATCCAGGTGGACATGCAGCAAGGTGCATGCTCCTACCCTGACTCTCCATACTCAGGCCCCATTGTGAGTGGAAGTTAAACTGACTGCTGGGCAGGGCAGGGAGGAGAACGTGGAGGTGAAATCAGAGGAGAGGATGGCCAAGGAGCCAGCCCAGGAAAAGGATGAGGTGGCGGGAGGTGGGATAGTTCATGAGCCCAGGATCCAAGGCACCATGTGTGCTCCCTTGTCCACTGGACTTGATTTACACAGACCATTCGATTCAGCATTAGCCATAAGGTATGAGCCTCAAGCATGGGGCCTTCCTAGTGCAGGGCCCTGTGCCAATGCACTGGTCACATGCTCTTGTAGCTAGTTCTGGGCAGGGTGGACAATGACAGCAAGAGGAAGTTGTGTTTATACCACCTCTGGATTCTCAATCTTAATGCTCATCTCCTTGTAATATTTTTTCCCTAGGGGGTGTTTACATTCATCATGGCCCAGAAACAAGGATATAATAAAAGGGTTGCTTCTAGAAAGTGCAACACATAGTAACATTAATATTTATAATAAAACTAATAATGATTAGTGTCATTTATTAAGCACTTACTATTCACCTGGCATTGTTCCCAGGATTTATACAACATGATCTGATGAGTATTATTTTTGAGCCCATTTTCAGATGTGGCCACTGAGGTACAGAGAGGCTAATGAACTTGACTCCCAGATCTAGCAGCTGGTAAGTAGTGAAGCTGCCATCATGACCTTGAGCAGCCTGGCTTGGGAGCACACACTTACTCATTGTGCCTCCCTAAGCGTTTGTTGAATGACTGAGTGATGGCTTTCAACAGAGCTGGAATCAGAATAGCATGAGAGGTGAAGAAATGCAGAATTTGTTGTAGGTGCTGGTTGAGTTAGCAATGGAATGTTGAGGCTGTGCAGGGTTCTCCATCCTACAATTCTGGGAGAGAGTGAGACAATCGGGGGTTTGATGGGCTGAACATCCTATTCCCATTGTTTGGGAAGAGAATATGTGATGGATAAGAACAGTATCACTGGTCCCTAGAACACCACAAGGACCACAAATAGCAGAGGGAAGAGGGAGGAAGCCAGGGGAGCTTTCCTTGGGCTCTGGAGGTTAAGGCTGATGCTGAAGCCTCGGAGACAGGATCGAGTGGGAAACACAGATGCCTCCTTTCCAAGGCAGCTGGGCCTGCCCCGCCAGGATATCTGGCATCTGGAAGGGGAGATGGCAGCATCTGGTATGACATAAGGGTCACACCAGCTCCCCTTCCCTTTGCCTCAGCAGTTGCTTAGATTAATCCTTTCTCAACACACCTGCCTGCCTGTGCTGACATTGTTTCATCCAGAGTAACATGCGATTATCTTTGTTACCATGATGGGGGTGACCATGCAATCTAATCATTGCTGGGCATCCACCCTGTGTCCAGCCCTGGGCCCGGCAGGGATGACCTTGCTGGGAGCCTTTCAAATAACACAATGAAACAGATTCTACTATTCCCATTTTTACAGATAAGGAAAACTACGCTTTAGAGGCTCGCCAACTAATACAAAGCAAAGTCTGGACTCTAGCCTGGCACTTGTCCTGACTGCAAACCTCATGCACATCACAGTTACACCTAGCCACTTCCTGGAGCAGGGTCAGGAGCTGGTTAACAGCATGTCCTTCGGTGCCACATTGACTGGGGCCTATTCCTGGCTTGGGCGACCAACTGTCCTAGTTAGCATGAGACTGAAGGGTCTTAGCTTTCAGTACTAAAAGTGGGACAGTCCTGAGAAAGTTCCTAGCTCCTGGCTGAATTGGGCAACTTAACCGCTTTGTGCCTCAGTTTCCTGATCTGTACAGTGAGGATAATGATAGTGTTTCCAGTGCATGTAAAGCATTTTAGAACAGTACCTGACTTACAGTAAGTCTATGGGTTAGCTAGTTTCACTGATTTTGTTATTGCTGTTGCAGTTGCCAGCTCAAAATTTTAGAAGCAGTTTGAATACTGTTGTTAAAAGCTCAGACTTTGCAAACAGGTAGATCTGGTGCACCCCCTGCTCCTCCCTGGGCTGGCTGTGTGGCCTTGATCTGTGTTGCCCAACAGCTTGGCTCTGCCATTGGATGAAGCTAATGGTCTTGGCCAGATGGTGCAGGTAAAGTCTTGGGCACAGTGCCTGGCACAGGTGAGGCCTCTGTGCATAGTAGTAGCTTGGATTATTACCAGTTGCCTTCCTGTGAAAGCTTTCACCTTCTCCCTCCCTTTCTATCTCTTGCTTTGCTCCATCATCCTTTGAGGCCTCAGTGCTAAGTCATCAAGGGAATCTGAAACGACAATCCCAGACTTGAGTTGCACTTGTTTCTCCCAAAAAGAAAGGATTTCAAGAATCCCACCCCAAACCCTTGTCTGTGCGCAACCCCAAGCTCCTTTGATGGGGTTGGAATTCATCTAGCTTGGATTGCTCTGCTCTGGAGGAGTTGAGGTTCAAGTGCCTTGTGGCTGAGGGACCAGTTGGCTTCCTCTTGACTATTTAGGGTGCTAAATTCTGGGAAAGGCAAGAACTACATGCAAAGATTAAGTTAATTCCAAATGAAAGTGAATCTCCTCTATGGCTAGGAGTTGAGTCTCTTTGAGGTGATGTGTCTTACAGGGAGTGGTCAAATTTTCCATTCATTCACTCATTCATTCATTCATTCATTCATTCATTCTCTTCACTATTACCCACTGCATGCCCAGCTCTGCCTAGACTTTAAAAATGAAGTAGATGATGCCAATTAGGCCTCAACCTATTTTCCTAAAGAAATTACAATTTTTTAAACAATAAATGTCCCAGTTTATAAGGATGAGAAGATGAAATAATCAAATGTCTTGCAATATTTAATCTATTAATTAGTTATAGAAACTATATTTTAAATTTCTTACTACGTGGCTGGGCATGGTGGCTGACACCTGTAATCCTATCATTTTGGAAGGCCGAAGAGGGTGGATCGCTTGAGCCCAGGAGTTCAAGACCAGCCTGGCCAAAATGCTGAAACCCCATCTCTACTAAAAACACAAAAATTAGCCAGGCGTGGTGGCACACGCCTGTAATCCCAGCTACTCAGGAGGCTGAGGCATAAGAATCGCTTGAACCTGGGAGGCAAATGTTGCAGTGAGCCGAGATTATGCCACTGCACTCCAGCCTGGGTAACAGAGTGAGACTCAGTTTCAAAAAATGAAAATAAAAAATAAAAAATAAAAAATAGAAATAAATAAATAAATAGATTTCTTACTATGTAACACAATACATTAATTTACAAATATCACTTCCTTGCCATCCCCCACCCCCATCACGTTTCAAAAAACTGTTCCTTCGAACTCTTCCCACGCATCTTCACAGTGGTGTCTTTTTCATCACTGAGGATGCTTTTTCAGGCCTCACCTAGTAGCCCTGATGGATCACCTTCACGTCCATCTATGTTGTTGGTGACACAGTCCTTTTTCTCATCTCGGCATGACACCATCATGAGAGATGTTATTCTAGCCCACAAGAACCCACTCATGTATTCGCTACACATTACGATAGATTTGTTTTATTTTTCCTGTAGATTTATGTTTATTCTGTCTCTTCTACAAAGGCTTATTAACAACAATTTCTAACACTTTCCCTTGGTAGATCATATTCTTGTGACTATCTACTAAATCTATGTTAATATTTTTGCCTCCCTCTCTCTTTTTAAGTGATTCCCTCAAGTGACTTACAAGTTTCTACAAATAACATTGACTTAGGTCATTTCAGACTGACATGTTGTACAGAATAAGGAATTGGGAGTGCATTACGCTCTACATATGCTATATGCAGTATGAAAACCTTTTTAAGGCCTGCAGCGTGCAGATGATAGTAACAAATGCTATATGGGAAGGCTTAATAGATTGGTTGGGCAGACAGGCTTCAATATCATCATTACCATCATCGCTATCATTAGCAGTCACCATAGCAACAGTAAATTCAACAATACAAAAGCAATAAGGACTGTTTCACTCATGTTGCTGGGATATAATATTTAAGGAAAAAAAAGAAAAGTCAGGTAGAATCTCTTCCCAAAGTTAAGGTTTGCTCTGGAAAGCCCACTTGGGAACTTTCCAAACTCCGAAACACTTACCTGAGGTTATAGGAAATTGGGGTTCCTTTTGTTTACCCCAAGTGTTCAGCACAGACTGTAATGTTCCAAGGGCTTAGGGGTTTGGAAGCCTAAATCCAGAATCAGACAATGTAGTGGAATTAGTCCCACTTAAAGGCAACCATAGGGTGGGCTCTGTGCTGGTACCATTGCATAAGAGATGTCATTTCCCACCCCAGCAACTCAGGATACAACTAATGGATCCTCTCATTTAGACTGCGGGGTGCTGGGAGCAGTGGCTCACACCAGTAATTCCAGTACTTTGGGAGGCCCGAGGTAGGAGAATCACTCTAAACCAGAAGTTTGAGTCCAGTGTGGGCCACAAAGGGAGACCCTGTCTTTACAAAAAAACTTAAAAAATTAGTCAGATGTGGTGGCTAATTTTTTCAGTTTTTTGTAAAGACACACTGTAATCTCAGTTACTTAGGGGGCGGAGGTGGAAGGATCACTTGAGTTTGAGGCTGCAATGAGCTGTGATCATCCCACTGCACTGCACTCCAGCTTGGTGACAGAGGGAGATCCGGTCTCTATAATAAATAAGTAAATAAATAGCAGGGAACAGACTAAGAGATGTAAGGACTTAGCCCAACGTCACACAGCTTTCTAAGGCCTCCTTCAATCCACTGGGCATCCCCAGATCTTATCCTTTGCTATTCTCCTTCCCTTTATTTTATTCTCAAACACAACACACTATTCTCTTTGTAGCAGAAATCACATTTTGCTACATTTTGCTATTTTATTCTCAAACACAACACACTGTTCTCTTTGTAGCAGAAATCACATTTTGTCTTCATGTGCTGAAAAACCAAACCAAACCCTTATCTCGTGTCTGTTTCTCCTGGCCAGTCTCTAAGCTGTGCCAGGGGAGGGTTTTCGTCTGTCTTGCTTGCTGAATGTCTAGCATCTTGCATGAGGCCCGGCACATAGCAGATGCTTAATAAGCAGCCTCTATGGTATGAAGTAAATATTAGACATGTTTCTACTGCAGGCTCCAGTCCAATAATGGAATCTCAGAGGGGACAGTGCTCCTCTAGAGTTACAAGACTGGGTCCGTGATGCCTTTATCTGCGTGAGTGTGAGAACGGCTCCCTGATGCCATCACCACTGTCAAAATTATCATGATAATGATAATGATAATGATAACATAATATTCCAGCTCTGGGAGAGAGAGAACCCTTTAGCTTCCTGATAGCTATGCTGAGGCTAAGCCGGATAAATGTCCTCTTTGCCCTTCATTGTCAGTGAGTTGACCTCCTCAGCTGTTGAATCTCAAGTGGAGAGTCTCAATTTGAAAGGGTTTGAATGGACCCAAAGGCATTCACATGGAAGGCAGTTCTAGAGCCTGGCGCATCTCCTCCCATGCGCCTGGTTCAGCATTCTCCATCAAATGTTAGAGGAAAGGGTGGGGAGGCCTGGGGAAAAAATGTATTACCCTCAAGTAAATATAAGAGCAGAGAAAAAGCAATAGCCTGAGTGTTGGACACTGCATTGTGGACTTTATATCCATTCTTTCCAAGTGTCCCAACAATTCTGTAGGTACACATTTTGACCTCCTTTCTTTTTTTTTCTGTTGTTTTGTTTTTTGTTTGTTTTTTGTTTTGTTTTGTTTTTTGATTGAGTTTTACTCTGTCACCCAGGCTAGAGTGCAGATCTCGGCTCACTACAACCTCTACCTCCCAGGTTCAAGTGATTCTTGGGCCTCAGCCTCCTGAGTAGCTGGGATTACAGGTGCGTGCTGCCATGCCTGGCTAATTTTTGTATTTTTAGTAACGCTGGGGTTTCACCATGTTGGTCAGGCTGGTCTCAAACTCCCGACCTCAAGTAATCTGCCCACTTCGGCCTCCGAAAATTCTGGGATTATGGGATTGCAGGCGTGAGCCAACGCGCTGAGCCATATATAGTGATATAAAAGCTCAGAGGTGTTGAGTGACTCACCCAGGGTCACACAGCTAGTGAGAGGCACAGCAAAGATTTGAGCTGAGATTGTCCAAATCTGAAGCCTGTTCTCTCCTGGAAACAAGACCTCTGCCTGAGCCCAGTCTGTGGCATAAATACTGACTACCTTCTGTCAGCTGCAGGAAGTGGGAAATTAGTTCCCTTTGCCTCCTTCTGTGGAAAAGGGGGCTGAGGATTGGGTAGACTGATGGGGCTGGGGGGAGGCCCCCCGATCAACCAATAGGGTTTTAATTAGCCCTGCAGAACCTGGCATTAAGGAGTGAAACCCTTTGACCCAGCAATTGCACCATTAGGAATTTATGTAACAAAAATACACACCGGGACAAAGTTATAGGTATGGGATATTCATAAAGCATTGTATGTTAGAGCCCAAACTGGACACAACCTAAGAGGCCAGCATAAAGGGAGGAAGAGAACCTCTCATAGCACACAATGACAGGGGAGCACAGCTGCTGAGAATGCAGGTCCCTAAGCATGAGTTTGAGTCTGGATTCTATCACTTCCTAGCGGTGTGACTTTGACATGATGTGTAATATGATCTTTTTTGTAAAGAACTAAATATGAGAAATATTAAGTTCTGTCTATAATGTAATTTCTTTCTTTCTTTTTTTAAATCTGCTCTACAAAGGCAGGTCTATGTAATGTAATTTCTGAAAGGATACATCCATAGTGGGTTAAATTGTGTCCTCCCACCCGCCAAAATTCACATTCACCTAGAACCTCAGCATGTGACCTTATTTGGGAATGAGATTTTTGCAAATGGATCTTGAGATGAAATCATCCATTTAGAGTAGGCCCTAAATCCATTGACTAGTATTTTTATAAGAGAAAGAAGAGGGAGATTTGGACACAGTAAGATACATAGAAAATAAAGTGACAGGCATGGTGGCTCACGCCTGTAATCCCAGCACTTTGGAAGGCCAAGGTGGGTGGATCACCTGAGGTCAGGAATTCAAGACCAGCCTGGCCAACATGGTTAAACCCCCTCTCTACTAAAAATACAAAAATTAGCTGAGCATGGTGGTGCAGGCCTGTAATCCCAGCTACTCCGGAGGCTGAGGCAGGAGAATCGCTTGAACCCAGGAGGTGGAGGTTGCAATGAGTTGGGATTGTGCCACTGTACTCCAGCCTGGGTGACAGAGTGAGACTCTGTCTCAAAAAAGAAAAAGAAAGAAAGAAAGAACTAAGAAAGAAAATAAGATAATGTAAAGACAGAGGCAGAGCTTGGAGTGATGCATCTACAAGTCCAAGAACGTCAAGGATTGCTGGGAGCCACAAAAACTGGGAGAGAGGCATGGAACAGATTCTTCCTCCAAGCCTCTGGAAGGAACTGTTCCTGCCATTACCTTGATTTTGGACTTCTGGTCACCAAAACTGTGAGAGAATAAATATCTGTTGTTTTAAGCCACCCAGGTTGTGGTACTTTGTTATGGCAGCCACAGGAAATCAATACACATACTGAAATAATGAACACTCGCTACAAGAGCGTGTGGCTATGATGCTTGTAGGTTTCCAGGTTTTAGTGTTCCTAATTGTTGGGATATTTTAAGACCGTAAAATTGTATTTTTAAATAGTCAGCCATAAAGTTCAATCAGGGACTCTGGGTTTCATTCAGGCCCACAGAAGTGGGTTGAGAAAGAGAGAGAGAGAGAGACTGAGAGAGAGAAGGAGAGAGATTCTAGCCCAACTACTGGCTGCTGTCCCCATATAAACCTCCCATGGTCTTGCACCTTCACCATGAAGCCTAAGTCCTCAGCAAACAGTTCCAGCCCATCCTTCCTGCCTCATGTTATAGTCCTTGGCTTCAAAACCTCAACCTGGGACACTCCTGGGGGGAAGGCAAAGCCCTTGGGCGGGGGGAGGGGGTGGGAAATCTTTTTTTTTTTTTTTTTAATAAAGTAAAAACTGTCCTGCTTGCATACAAGAAATTGTAGAAAAAGTTTATTTGCTGATCATTGCTCGAATCTTGAAATACAATCAGTTCACAAGGATGTAACCAATTTGAATGCCAGTTGTGACTCCATGCTAGCCCACCACAGTCTAATTTGACATTATTAGTACAAATATATACATAAATTAATTGCCATTAGCACATGAACTACCTTCTCACTTTCCAGCTTAATGTTGCTTCCAGCTTCAACCATTCATTGTGGAACTCTTAACTAGCCTTATTGGTCAAATGTATTCTGTTCAACTCAGAGAAGCACGGAAGTGGTCAGTAGGATTGGTAGTCCTTACTTGGTCATCACAACAAAGGCTGCAGTTTTGTACTTAAATCTATAGTGGACGGTGATCTTTTTTCCTATCCAGGCAGAGTACCTAGGGACAGCTATGAATTCTGCAAATGCAACGAGAGGGGACAAACACGACAAAGAGGCAGCATGACCAGGCCACTGTGAGTCCTATATTTCAACAAGGGTAGGCCAGCCCAAATGGCTTTCCTTATCTACTTGAAACAATGGTATGTTTTTCTTCTGAGAAATCTCACCCATGGTTGCATTTCATTGCAGCCAGTAAAATTTAAAGAATTTAGAGGAAAAAATTTAAAGAATTCCCCAAATTATTACATTTTTGGAAGAAGCATTACATATAGGTTCTCTGAAACACTATGTTTTTTCATTGTCTCCCCTGCCCCTGAACATGTAGGTGTTTGAATCACTTGTATTTTTTCTTTGACAACTTTTCTTAAAAGTCTACACCTAAACCTTGTGTGTCTACCTCTGGGAAGGTCCTGACAGCTTTATCTGATTTTGCAAAAGTCCATCGCTAAGCTTCCCCCAAAAAGGATAACAAATTGCAGCCTTAAAGATGCCAGACCCATCAGCATTTCTTTATGATACCAGGTACATTTGCCTCTGTGATTTTTCTCATCCTATCCTCTCCACTAGAAACACCTATCCTCTTTTCTCTGTCCTAGAAAATTTTCATCCACACTTTGAGGCCCTCACACAGATTGAGTCAACTGATACATTCCTAGCTCTGGCCAGGGATGGGAAACATGATGGTGCAAATAGCAGACATGGTCACGACCAACCTAACAAGTGGGTTTCATTGCCATCATCCATCAAAGGTGAGGTTCAGAGAGGTGAAGTCAGTTGGCCCAGACACACAGCCAGAAATTGGCAGAGCCATGGGGCCCAACACGAATGCTAAGCTGCTTCAACTTTTCTTCATATGGCACCCAGCTTATGAACATTTCAAGTGGTCCATAAATATTTGCTGAGGAGGAGAGAAAGATAAATAATATTTGTACATCAACTCATGCCATGTGGGCTGCTTACATTTCTCACTTCATCCTCTCAACAAACCAAGGAGGTATTATTCTCCCTACTGAACCAATGAAGAAAGTAGAGTTCAGAGAGGTGAAACCACTTGCCCAAAGCCACACAGCATGAATGTGACAGAGCTGGGATACGAGGCGGGTCCTGTGTACTTAACCATTAGACCTGTCTACCTCTCACACTGCTAGAATCTCCTTGTTTCTGCAGGGTGAACTGAAACCTGGAAAACATGCTCTGCTCTTGGCCATCTCAAAGGTGGGAGGAGCCAGAGAAAATAGAGAGTCTCTTTGTTCTATCTCAAAGGCAAATAACATGAGTTCCCAAATTCAGGCCAATAAAGCAAATTTGTTATGGCCACTTCAGAGGAGGCACAGCGGCTTGTCTGGGTCAGGGGATGCAGTGGACATGAACGCCTAGATTGGCTAACAAGCAGCACAATTATGGTTCTCAGTGGATTCACACTGTTTTGAAAGGCCATCAGGCACTGAGAGGAAACAAGCAAAGGAGCGTTACAAATTCATTACAGAAACTAACTACTTCCATTTGTGCATGTGGCAGAGGACTCGGTGGCCAAGTAAAGGTATGACTCCTTTGTCCATAACTCTGCTCTCTGGAAGCCAGGTCCTGGTCAGGCCACACCTTGTGGGAGCAGAGAGACAAATCACTTAAGACTGGGGACCTTGTTTTGGAAGCTGGTGGCTTTATTGGTGCAGGGGTGAGGGCTTTGGGAGGTGGTCAAGTCCTGCCTACCCTTGAAGGAAGTGTGTCTTGCCTAGAATCCCTGGTGCCCTGAGCGGCCATATTTTGTGCCATAGAATATTCTCTTGTTATTAGGGCAGGGCCCCAGACACCTTGATTCATTGAGTGACCAGCAACTGTGACCAGAAATTGACTGGCCTGCGTTGAATAGATGACGATGCCAATGCAATTCCTGTTTCATCAAATCGGATTTGGGACAATGAGACACTGTGCCAGGGGAGCTGTGAAAGCTAACTTGAAAGACCAGGAAATAGATGTCAGATCAAAGTGGCCATTTTGGGCCACTGACAACTGATGTTGTGGAGAAATTGACCTCATAAGAGGAGAAAAAATAGCCAAGAGACAGAGAGAAGTGGAGATGCATGATAGAGAGGTTGGGGACCTGGGGAGAGGGGAGAGAGCAAAAGAAAAGGCAGCTAATTGGTTCGAGGTACCACTTTTTTTTTTTTGAGATGGAGTCTTACTCTTGTTGCCCAGGCTGGAGTGCAGAGGCATAGTCTCCGCTCACTGCAGCCTCTACCTCCTGGGTTCAAGCGATTCTCCTGTCTCAGCCTCCAAGTAGCTGGGATTACAGGTACCTGCCACCACACCCATCTAATTTTTGTATTTTTAGTAGAGATGGGGTTTCACCATGTTGGCCAGGTGGGTCTTGAACTCATGACCTCAAGTGATCCACCTGCCTTGGCCTCCCAAAGTGCTGGGATTACAGGCATGAGCCACCGCACCTGGCCAACCCAGGTTCCATTTTGTATTAAAAAAAATCAAAACAAAACAAAAAAAACCCTCACTTTTCCTATAGGTCACTTGAGTAAATAAATCTCTGTTTCAACCAATAGGATTTTAAGAAATTGGTGGTCATCATTTTCAGCGTAGGAATCTCAACCCCATGCCCGTAGGAGCCAGGCAAGTACTGTAAATGCCTGGTACAGGCTGGGCACAGAATAAACAGGGAGCACTGAATCCTGGAGAAACAGAAGCCACATGCCCTGGAAGGAGGGGAAGTCCTTACTGAGTTCTGGCCAGCATTTGTCGTAAGAGGATGTGGGTTTAGATGCTGTAAAGCTGGATTTTAATGAACCTCCTCTAATATGTAAATATAGATAACTGACCAGACGGAGTGTCTCATGCTTGTAATCCCAGCATTTTGGGAGGCCAAAGCGGATGGATCACTGGAGGTCAGGAGTTCGAGACCAGCCTGGCTAACATGGCAAAACCTCATCTCTACAAAAAATACAAAAATTAGCTGGGCATGGTGGCGGGCTCCTGTAATCCCAGATACTTGGGAGGCTGAGGCAGGAGAATTGCTTAAACCTGGGAGGCAGAGGTTGCAGTGAGCCTATCGCACCACTGCACTCCAGCCTGGGTGACAGAGTAAAACTGTTTAAAAAAATAATAATAAAAAAATAAAACTAAATAAGTACTGATAACTAATTTTAAAAATATGATGAGGGCCACACAAGCTCACTTGCATATCCGCTGCACCCTTTGGCTTACTTTTCCAGTTTTTGGCATAGATTCTGGAACCTTTTTAACAACTGAATGGCAGTCAGCATAAGACAAATGTATCTGAGCTACTCACAGGCATTTACGAAGCAACAGTCATTGTTTACAAAGTATTTTCCCCACTGTACAGACTCTGAAACTGGTGTTATTGTGATTTTTCAATTGAATTGTACTTAATTCAAAACCGTGATTTAAAAATGTTACTGGTAGGAAGTGAGTAGAGTTTCTATAGAATAAAAAAAAATCAGGCTGGGCGCGGTGGCTCACGCCTGTAATCCCAGCACTTTGGGAGGCCGAGGCAGGTGGATCACGAGGTCAGGAGATCAAGACCATCCTGGCTAACAAGGTGAAACCCTGTCTCTACTAAAAATACAAAAAATTAGCCGGGCATGGTGGCGGGCGCCTGTGGTCCCAGCTACTCAGGAGACTGAGGCAGGAGAATGGCATGAACCCAGGAGGCGGAGCTTGCAGTGAGCCGAGATCGTGCCACTGCACTCCAGCCTGGGTGACAGAGCAAGACTCTGTCTCAAAAAAAAAAAAAAAAAAATCTAACCAAGTGTCTTGCAAACTACTCAGAGACCTAAAGTCCAGCCTGGAACGTCATCCTTGATACATTGGTCTGCAAAGCAGCCTAGTGTGAATGGTCTTTTTTTCTTTTTTTAATTAATCTTACATGGTGAAACCCCATCTCTACTAAAAATACAAAAATTAGCTGGGCATGGTGGCACATGCCTGTAATCTCAGCTGCTTGGGAGGCTGAGGCAGGAGAATTGCTTGCGCCTTGGGAGGCGGAGGTTGCAGTGAGTCGAGATCACTCCACTGTACTCCAGCCAGGATGACAGGAGTGAAACCCTGTCTCAAAAGAAAAACAAATCTATTTTGCTTATTAAACTGTAGTTTTTTTCCTAACAATTTATAAGCTTACCACTATGTATCTGAAAACATCAAAATTAATTTCTTTTCAAATGCTTTACTTTTTACTGATTTTTTTCATAACTTCCCTTTTTCCGGATCTGATTTAATTATGTTTTACTTTATTTCCTTGATTCTGCTGTCTGACCCCCTTAGAGATTAGAAATTTCATATTGTAGTTTATTTGCTTACCAACATGCCTGGGTGATGAAGTATGGCCATCAGTCATATATGTGGAGGCAATCTGCATTTATTTTTAGAAAAAATTATTTGGTAATTAGGGTGTATGTTCATCTGGTATCCTTCTCCTGAAGGCAGTTCTATGCTGAGTTTGGAGACCAGTTCTGAGACCTGGGGTTTGCAGTTGGTTGTCAATGAAACTTACTGAAGTCCTTTTTTAACTTTTCCTATGCATAAAATGAGGATAATCGTGCCTCCCATGGTTATTGTGAAAGTGAAAAAGAGAATGAAGGAGAAGAGGAGCTGTTTAAAGTCAGTATAAATATTAGATATGAGGTCAGTATTACAACTGCATACATTAAAAACACGACTTCTAGAAGCTCAGGACACAGTCAGTGTCCACCCAATATTGAGTCATTTGCTTGGCACAAGGAAAAAATTCAGCTCAGCATGGAGAGGAAAAGCCTTTCTATGGCCTTCATTCATTTGGGAAGTATTCATCACACATCTATGTGTTTTTGTGAATACAGGGGATCCAAGGTGAATCATGACAGCCGTGGTTCCTGCCCTTATAGAGCTTACTGTCACACTATGATGACGAAAGTCAGGGAAGTCTTCCTGGACAAGGTGTCATCTAACCTGAGATCTGAGAATTAATTGGAGTTAGGGGAAATGGGCTGGAATTGGAGGAGTGGGAAGAGCAATCTAGGAGGTGGGAAGAGCATGGGCAGTAGCTCAGAAACGAGAGAATCTATGGAGTTTTATTAGTCACACAAAGCTGTGTAAAAATGCCATACTTCAAAATGTAATAGAGCAAAATAACAAACATTTATTATATCAGTATTATGGGTTTGGAATCTGATGTATCTTTGCATAAGGCCTTCACTGTTGGCTGGAGGTATCAATTTCTTGCTACTTGGGCATCTTCAGAAGAACTACTAGCATCATGGCAGCTTGCTTTCATTGCAGGAGAGAGAGAGAGAGCGAGAATATGAGTATATAATAAATTTCAGAGTCCTTCTGTAACCTCATCTTGGGATGACATCCCATCACTTTTGCCATATTCTGTTCATTAGAAGTTAGTCACTACTTATAAGTGCTAGCCAAACACTGGTACTCACGGACATAAAGATGGCAACAATAGTCACTGGGGACTGCTAGAGGTGGGAGAGAGGGAAGGGGTTGAAAAACTAACTATTGAGTACTATGTTCAGTACCTGGGTAATGAGATCAGTCATTACTCAAACCTCAGCATCACACAATATAACCATGTAACAAACCTACGCATGTATCCATTGAATGTAAAATAAATGTTGAAATTATGCTTGTTAAAAATTAAAGGATAAAAAAGAAGTGAGTCACTGAGTCCAGTCCACACTCAAGGGGATTGAGTCCACAGTCACAAGTGTGAATTCAGGACGAAGGATCATTGGTACTATTTTTGGGGCTGCCTACCAGAGGCATGTGCAATGATTGAGAGTTTAGTCTACATGGAGTACACTGTGTGAAAGGAAGGGTAGTATGGGAGAAGACTGGAGAGGTGACTGGGCACCAGACTGTGCAGGCAAATAAATCGTTTTAAGGATTTAGGATTTGATCCAAGAATAATAGAGAAACTTTAGGATTTGATCCAAGAATAATAGAGAAACTTTGAAGACAGTTAAGAAAAGCTGAGCTATAATCAGATTTTCACTTCAGAATGGTCACTCTGGTTGCAGCTTGTGAAATGGATTGAAGAGAGGCAATGGTTGTTGACAGAAGACTACTGCTGTCATCCAAGCAACCAAGATGGTGGCCTCAAGTGGGAAAGTGGTGGAGAGGACAAAAAGAAGTGGAAGAGTTTCAGGGATATTCAGGAAGTCAGATAAGCAGGACTTACTAAATAGATGTGAGAAAGGTAAGTTAGGGAGAAGAAGAGGTCAAGAATGATTCCTACAATTCAGACTTGGTGGTTGGATACATGATAGATATTCCTTGAGGTGGGGACCAATAGAGAAAGGTGAGTCTGGGAAAGAAGATGATGGGGTTGGTTTGGGACATGTTACATTTGAAGGGCCTGCGTGGCACCTCCAAGTGGAGATGGCCAGTGGGCAGATGGCTCCTTAGTTTTCAGAACAGCATGGAGATTTGAGAGTCACCAGCATCTGCCATCTAATTGCAGCAATGGGACTTAATGAGGTTTCCCCAGAGAAGGCTGGTTTGCCTCAAAGAGGACAGGCCCAAATTGCCCAGAGTAGACACAGGGCCCTTGAACAGAAACATGTGGGAAAGGTGCCAAGATCCAGTGTAGATCTGCTGTCATGACACCTATTGGAAGAGGAAGATTAAACTCTATGGCTCTTGGGCATTGTTTTCTCTTTATAGTTTGCTATGATGCTTTGTTTTCTGAATTATATGATAGTTGATTATTTTCAGATGGTGAGTAGAGTGAGAATTCTATTTCTCTGGGTCACACTTTCATTTCTGTTCTCTGAACCTGCAAATAGAAGTCGGGGTTTTGGGAAGAGATGGGGTGGATTGGGAGGATCAATTCCTTCACCATTGTAGGCTCATAGTTTACTCTGTTAGTTCAACACACGACTTTTTAGGGTTGTGGGGTACCCCTTTACCTTAAGTCTTGAAAAGTTTCGAGAAGCAAATGGATAGAGACCATTGTTTCCCTCTACTTAAACTTCAGAGATAATAGAACATACTAGTTAAAAGCATGAATCCTAGGGTCACACTGTGTGGGTTCAAATCCCAACTTTGCCACTTGCCAGCTATGTGACCTTGGAAAAATTACTTACTATCTTTATGCCTCAATTTCCTCACCTATAGAAAGAGCCAACAATAGGCTGTGTCTTATAGGGTTGTTGTAAATGAAGGAAAGACTTAGAATTGTGCCTGGCACATTAAAAAAATATTGTATATTTAAGAGTTTATTGAATAAAAATAGAACAAGTGCAGTTATGAGCACCTTTCGGGTTGCTGTCCAGCCCATAACTCTTCATTTCTGAGAAAGTGACTCTCATACACCAGAATGATCCTTAGCAGCCATGCTAGTATCATGTGATCCTCCCTGGTTGCAGCTCATGGGATCAGGCATCAGCTTTAGAACAAAGTTGGGCCAATCAGGTTCTTTCTCACAGGACAAAGAGACATTAGCTAGTCTCTATTGGTGGCTGCATGGTATGGGATGCTAATTTCTGTTATGATGTGGGGGGATAGAGAAAGCCTCTTGGCCATGGAGAGACAAAAGGAAGCAAAGACCGGGTGGTCACAGAGACAGAAGCTTGGAGAGAGGTTGTCTGGGCTCATGATGCCTTTCTAGTTCCTCCTAGAGCCAAACTGTCCTTCCTGCATTGACTTCTGCCAGACAGCTGTCTTTCCTTCTCCTAATTCCCTTTTGGAGTTTAAGCTAATTTGGGAGGTTTTGGCTACCTGTTATATGAAATAATTTTCTCTAAAGAGGGCCCTATTTGAGATCTCTTCCTTTTGGCCCTTCTAATCTTATATTACCCTTCTGTACCCTGTTCTGTGTCCCAGGGGCTGCTACTTGCTGACTATACACAGTCAACAAAGCCTTCTGGCTTCCAAGTGAGTGATATGGTTTGGCTGTGTCCCTACTCAAATCTCATCTTGAATTATAGCTCCCATCATTCCCACATGTTGTAGGAGGGACTTGGTGGAAGATAATTGAATCATGGGTACAGTTTCCCCCATACTATTCTCATAATAGTGAATAAGTCTCACAAGATCTGATGATTGTATAAGGGGAAACCTCTTTTGCTTGGTTCTCATTCTCTCTTGTCTGCCACCATGTAAGATGTGCCTTTTGCCTTCCACCATGATTGTGAGGCCTCCTCAGGCATGTGGAACTGTGAATCCATTAAATCTCTTTTTTCTTTATAAATTACCCAGTCTTGGGTATGTCTTTATCAGCAGTGTGAGAACAGGCTAATACGGTGAGTTCAGCCAATGGGAATAGGGAAGGAGGAGGAGAGTGAGGGTTGGGTATTCAGTCCCCTGTCCCCCTTCCTGGAGAGTCTCTCAGGCTGGCCCTCCTCCTCAAACAGAGGCACACTGCTCAACATCACTTTCTTTTCTGGGTTCAGGTTAGCTTCCTTCCATTTTCCCTGGGGGCCCAGGGATGGTAACAGGTCAGTGGTCACTAGCTCCAGGTTTCTGTATACACTTTGTGCTTGCCTTCCACCTACATCTTTCTGCTTTTAAGTATAGAACCTTCAAAACTAAACCCGTCTGGAATCATCTTCATTTGGGTGTGCCTCTGCTTTTCTATTGGTATGCTAATGGATTTTCTCTTAAAGCAGAAAAATTGAGGCCCAGAGTGTGTTTATGTACAGGTGCCCTCTCTTTGCACAAAAGTATGGAAACATGAGGGCTGAAACCATGCAAAGCAATCTTAAACAATAGGAAAAATTACAATTGTGCCGTGACCTTTGATTTTTTTCTCCAAACAGTAAAAATCCTTTTACTGTTGAATATAAGTGTATAGAAAAATGCAAACAATTAAAACTCTTATTTTGTACACTGTACTTTAAAACACAAAAAATATTGAGAACTATGTCTTATTTCTTTGTTAAAGTCTTATCTAGTGGTTTGAACAACGCTTGCCTTCACTTGATCTGTAAGGAAAGTGAACGTCTCTTCAACACCTTGACAAGTCAGACTCCTTTCAAGGTTTGAATTCACTTCCAGCATTTTATTCTTTGACTTTTCAATGCTGTGGAATGTCTCCAAGAGTTCCTTTAATGTGAAATTTCTTACTGATATTACCTTTTCTAGGACACCTTCAGCTTTTTCATCACTTTCCTCATTTATGGCAATAAGTTCACCTTCACCAAGTTCCACTTGCTGTCTATCCAGGGTCCCTCACATGGCAGCAGTGTCCATATTTCCACAGTCAGCTATATGTTTTCTGTAACTCTGTTTACATTTTATGTAAATTTAACTTCCAGCTTTATCAGCCTTCTTGCTTCACTTTCATCTTTGTTGGTCAATTCCTTCTTTTGATGATACAGTTGTATAAAATGACATGTAGGTTGATCCCTAAGGGACAAGGAGGCAACACAGTGACATGTTTTGCTGTCCATGTCTGACCTGAATAACAGACCCACAGTGACCAGCTGCCTGCAGACTTGGAACAGAGTGGCATGATCAGTCACTGCTCAATATACACGTCTGTTATTTCTGCTGTGACTGAAAGGCAGCAAAGGTTGTATTTTATACAATCACAAAATTAATATACTGCAGTAACTTAAATTTGAACCATGTCATTGGGGAACTGATGTTATTTAAAATTTGCAATAAGTAGAATCTATGCATATGGGAACTATGCATATGGAACTGTGCATATTGAAACTAAGCAGGAACTTCCTGTGCCATAATTGACTGCTTTCTTATGTGTTCCAGTAAATTATAATCTCCTTGAAGGCAGGAATCATGCCTTTTTGTTTGTTTTGTCCTTCCGGAATCCAGCCCAGGAGGTGGCACAGAACTGGTGCCTAAGAAACACTCACTGAGTGAATGAATGACTTAAATTCCTCACCCAGAATCTCATATGTCATGAGAGACATGTGAAGATGTGATCCTAACCAGAAGTCAGTAGACGTGGGCTTCCATTAACCAGTGTGCCATTTATGACTACCGGTGTGCCATTTACAACTAAGCTGTTTGCTCTTGGACCTTAGTTTTTCCACCTGTCGAGTGGGTGAAAAGAGTTAGATTGAATTTGCATTTTGTCTCAAAATGTTTCTCAAGACAGTTGTCCTGAGAGTGGAATCTTAGAAATAGATTCTGTGCTCAAGTCAGCTTGGGAAACATTGACCGTTCTATCTCCCTTTCAGAATTCACAATGAACTTTAGACACTAAAGCTTCTGAAAAGTCCTGTAAGAAAGAAACAAGCTTCACTTTATTTGAGGCAGAGTTTCCCATCTCTCTGTTTCCCTCCTTTATATGATTTTACATGCAATGCAGCTGATATTCCCTACCATATACTTTGGGACACTCTAGTCCTTTTCCATTTTAACATTTCATGGGTCTGGAAATCTATGGGGGCGCTGCTATGCCTGACCCCTGGGCAGAAACACATCTCAGTGCAAGTCGTTGAAGGAGCATCTCCAATATGTCTCTTTGCAAGAGAACACATGCAGATGAGCACACAGTAGCTGAGACAGCACAGTCTCCTCTCGGCACCTGGAGCTGGAGCTCTGTTGACAGCATAGGGGGCTGGCGCACGTGGGGCACACATGTATGTACTGCTTTACTCCTTCCCGTCTCTACATTACTTTCCAATTTAAAGCATGTACTTGTGTACCTCCATGCTTCTGTCATAGACTGCAGATGACATCTCTCCTTATCTCTGACATGACTGAGCATTTTGGAGGTAGACATTAAATAGAAAAGCCTAGGATATTTTACTTGTATTGATATTCCTGAGATGGGTTGCAGTTTCTGTGCTATAGATAGACAGATCATCAGTTGATCTCTCTCTCGTCATAATGTTTTCTATAGATAGCCTTTGAAGGTGACTTTACTTGAAAGATGTGGTCATGTCATCCCTGAGATTCACTTAATAATCCTCCTGCACCATGGAGGAGGATTAAGGATGGCTGGAGAGGTGGTAAAGGATAGAGTAGTTAAAGAAGGAATTTAGAGTAAAAGGTCAGGGATAGGCTGATGGATTAAGGTTGAGTGTGAGCAAAGAATGGGGGTTACCGTGAATTATGCTGGTGGGCTTTGCATGCTGCTATTCTATTGTCTTACCCCGAGGAAGGAAACTAGATGCCTCTGTGGGGGTTGCAGCCTGCCTAGAGAAATGTAGGTCAATGTGCGTATTGACTTTTCCGTGGTCCATATGGGTTTCATGTGCATGCACAGAATGTTCTTATGTTTTGATTGTATTTTCTCTGTGTGTGTGCATGTGTGTGCATGCATGAATTTACACATGTGGTCTGTTGTTCTTTGATCCTTAAACTTATGTTTGAGCTTATATTATGCACATATTTCCATGATAAGTTCTTACCAGATTTTTCCAACATACTCAGTTGTCAGATGGACACACATTTCCCAAGTCACAAAACCGTCTCAAAGATACATAGCCAGAAATGGTATTCCCTACTAAAATCCACTTTCACCAAGATGGTGGCTTTGAATGACAAGTGGATAGGAAGGGAAAGATTTTTTAAGAGGAGGCCATGGCACTGGACCCAAGAAGAAGCAGACGTTTTTAAAGAAAGGGCCAATGGCAAGACCCAGGAGGAAAATGTAAATGGGAACAGACTGAGAAATGGATGAGTCATCAGAAGATCAACTAAACAACTGGATAAACAAATCACCAACCACAAGAGTCTCTCCTGCACCTGACTGTGCGTTCAACCTGTTAAATGCAGATTCCCAGGGCCCACTCTGGACCTTCTGATCATAGTCTCTTGGGTTGGACTCAAGAAGCTGTACTGGAGGTAGACAGCTGTACAAAGCTACCTACATCCTCAGGGGCTTTGTAAAGCCAGCCTGGAATTATCATAGGATGAGTCTTTAGGTAATTAGGCCAATTGGAGCCTTCTAAGTGTAGTCTGAGGCTCCTCCCCACCCCACTGCCATGCTCTTCATCAGATACAAGGGCAAGAAACACTGCCTCTATTACCAGGAATAACTTGGATCTGATCCGTAATCTTTGAGGACTCTGGCTGGGTTTCATTTTCTAGGGCTGGGGCTTTCAGGGGAGGGCATTATCCTCTGTCTGTTTGTCTTTCTTCTCTTTTATGTCTTTCTGGCTAGGTAACACAGAGCTACAGCCTTGCCTCTTAGAAACTGTTCCCCGCCCCTACATGTCTAGTGTCAGTTTGCAGCTGAGGCAATACAAGGTGAAGGAGAGCTGGATTCAAGGTTGACTTTGGCCCGAGGCTGTTTAGACTGCAAGCTTTAGAAAAGAAACCATTCACAGTGGTGTGACCCAGCCCCGGTGACTCTTAAGTCCTGCCGTGGGATTTGTCACGAAAGCCTCAACTAATAACAATGCTATTTTGCTTCCCATACGTCTGGCATTGTGATGACACTCTTTTGGGAAGGAGCAACTACCAGGATTTGGTATTTCTGGTTCGTTGTCCAGAATATTTGCTAAATTTACCTTCATTTCTACAAAAATTTCTAATGTAAATATCCAATACTTAGAGGGAAGGCGGAAGCAACATTTATTTGAAGACCTACTATGTGCCACTATTTTATAACCATCGCCTCCTCTGATCCTCACAATAACCAGGTAAGGTTGGCATTTTAGCTCCTTTTTATAGAGATGGAATCTGAAAGAACAGTGACTTTCCTTTCTTGGAGGGTTGATAAATGGCAGGGGAAGGATTCCAGCTGAGATTTGGGTCTTCTGAGTATATTTTCTTTCCTGGACACAACCCATCTTCTTGAGGCCAGCTTAGTCCTGGCAGCCTTAACTTGGCGCCCTGAAGAGCAGGAAGGGAGATGAATAAAGGAAAAGAGTCGTGTGTTATCTTAAATATTACTGTGGTTTTTACAACACCTTTAAAGAAGAATCATTCTCAGTTCCCTAACTCACCAGTGTCTGGAAATGGAATTAACCAGACCACAAACTGAGTCATGTGCTCCGTCCCGTGAGGAATTTTTGCAAGGGTGGAACAATAAGAGTATTTTGGGTTTTCATCGGGTGTTGTACCTAACACCACAATGTCACCTGCTATTGACACAGTGTCTTCTTGTCATGAATTGGGAAACATATTTGTTGTGGATTGGCAGTTTGGGTGAGAACTAGGTGGAGCTTGGGATTGTGGGCCTGGCAGGGGTTTTGCTGGAGAGGGTGTTGGGAAACAGGGAAACCACAGTGCAGTTATGAGTGTCTCCAAGTTGAAACGCTACTACTGTATTGTTGCTTTTCTATTCTTCCTACTCCAAGCCACTCCCAGGATTTCAATTTTTCCCTTCACCGGTTAGGCGGGTTGTTGATAAGTTTTGCAGAAAAGAGTTGGGAGCTTCAAGCTGAGGTAGAGTCTTTTTCTTGGAAGTGGGGTGGGAAGAGGCGGAATCTTCTTGCCTTTGAAGGTGTTGCTTTCAAAACCTTCACAAAAACTGCCAGTCCATGAGATATAAATCATGTGAAGTCATTTTAGTGGATGATTAAGAACCTGGGTCCCAGAACTTTCTATGATAATTTGAATGTTCTGTATCCGCACCCTTCAATATGGTTGCTACCAGACTAATACTGCTCTTTGAGCACTTGAAATGTGGCCAGTGGGACTAGGGAATTGCATTTTAAATTTTAAGTATAGGTGGTCCTTGGTGTACAATGAAGTTATATCCCAATAAAATAATTATAAGTTGAAAGTATTCTATAAGTCAAAAATGCATTTAATGCTCCTGACCTACCAAACAGCATAGCTTAGCCTAACCTACTTTAAACATGCTCAGAATACTTACATTAGCCTACAGTTGGGCAATATTCTAACACAAAGCCTATTTTAAAATAAAGCATTGAATATTTCATGGAATTTGTTGAATATGACACTAAAAGTGAAAAACAAAATGATTGGTATTCAAAGTATGGTTTCTACTGAATGTATATCACTTTCATATTATCGTAAAGTCAACAAATCTTAAACCATTGTAAGACAAAGACCATCTGTACTGTAGTTCCAAATTAAAGAGTCACATGTGCCTAGTGGCTCCCGTATTAGACAGCACAACCCTAGAGTTTGTCGATTTCAAGAGTCCTGACTCTACCACTTTGTAACTGTGGTTTTCCTAAGGTATTAGGAAAGCTGTGTCACCATTATGAGCCACAGTTTCCTCATCAGTAAATAAGGATGAAAATGATACTTACCTGTAATGTTAATGTGAAGATTAAACAAGGTAATGTATTGAAGTGCTTAGCATGATGCCTAGCACCGAAGCTTTCAATGTTAGGGAACAAAATCTGAGAAAGGAGGAGACTAAGAGGGTGGAGATATAAAGGGATCTTGGTTGTCTACTGAATAGCCATTCCGTCTTTTCTGCCTTAGAAATAGAGCTCTGATGTTTTCCATGAATTACTTGGTCAGTCATGCACCTCACAAGAAGACGAGTCCCTCCTCAGCTCCCATTTCACAAGAAGGTGGATCCCTGAATCATGTCTGGTCTAAGCCAGGCATGTTGGCTCCTTTCTGCCTTCCAGCTCTGAAATCATGCTAAAAACTGCTTAACTGTAATGTCTCAAAGTCTTTCCTGCTTCTTGAAAGTCTCCAGAATAGTGCATTAACTATTCCACCAGTTATCTACCCTGGAAAGCCAAAACAGGGATGATGTTTTGAGGTCAAAGAGGAAAATTTATTTCCATCTAGCTGGTATTTCTTTCTGTGCTTGAATTCTGGTTCTGCTTCTCCAGATCCTTCATCTTTTGCCTCCTAATGTTTCCCTTCATTTCCCACCAGATGACAATATTCGAAGTCCTTGTGCTTGGATACCTTGTGACCTTGGGACTTCTTGGTTGCCGGGCTATTGGTCTTGATGACTAGAAGCAACTCACGTGTTGCTAGGTTATTGGAGGCAGCCAATGGTCAGACAGACTTCTTCATGCCTTCTGCCTGGTGTAGGTGCAAGCTTTGAGGACAGGAAAAGGCTTTTAAATGGCCAAAGCATGGCTGAGTCTGTACTCATTAAGGCATGATATACTCAAGGTCAACTAAGCTTGATGGGGCTACAAAGACAGGATGAAAGACAGACAAAATCATAAGTTTTCTGTTATGAGTTTACTGGATCTTGGGAGTGGAGGTAATACATGTATGTGAGTGGAAAAGTGAGAATTTCTGAGAAAATATGATTTCTTGAGACCTTGTGATTGTTTACAAGTTTGTTTACTTTATATCTCAAAACAACCATCCTTCTCTACACATGCCAAAGGCTTATAAATATTCGGGAGTTGACACTCATTTTAGTATACAAGTCATCAGCCTTTAGACCTGGACAAAATTTAAATGGTATCCTGCTCCCAACTCATCTCCTTATCAGACTTATCTGTGTTACACAGCAGACATGAAAACTGAATCCACAACTCCAGACTTCCATGTTAGTATTTTTTTCCAATGAAATCCTTTGGTTTTTTTTTTTTTTTTTTTTTTTTTTTTTTGAGACAGAATGTCACTCTGTTATCCAGGCTGGAGTGCAGAGGCATGATCATAGTTCAGGGCTTACAGCTCACTGCAGCCTCAACCTCCTGGGCCTGAGGAATCCTCCCACCTCAGCCTCCCAAGTAGCTGAGAAGCTGGGAATACAGGTGCATACCAGCACACCTGGCTAATTTTGTGTTTTTTTTGTAGAGATAAGGTTTTGCCATGTTGCCCAGGCTGGTCTTGAACATCTGGGGCTCAAGTGATTTGCCCACCTCAGTCTCTCAAAGTGCTGGGATTACAGGTGTGAGCCACTTTGGCTGGGCTTTTTTTTTCTATTTTTTTTTTTTTCTTATTTGGAGTCAGTGTTCTTGCTATGTTGCCCAGGGTAGCCTCAACCTCCTGGGCTCAAGTGATCCTCCCGCCTCAGCCTTCTGAGTATCTGGGATTACAGGTGCACTCCACCACACCTGGCTCCAGTGAGATCTTTTGGCCCACACTCACCCACTTCTTACTTTCATCCTTCCTCCCCAGGAAGCCTTCCCTGACCTCACTCTTCCTGCCTGGGTTAGGTCCCTGCCTCCATGTTCCCATGTGTTTTGTTATCTCACAATACCAGCCACTGTACTGTACTTAACTGCTTACTTCTCCATTACCCTGATTTTTCCTTGAGTATAGAAGTGACTTTGGTTTACCATTGCCAGTGGCATATTGATAAATGTTTACCAACTAGTTCTCTCTTGAGAAAGGTGAAAAAAAAAAAGACCATGATTTATAGTGTCTGCCCATTTCTGTGGTGTAAATACCCCTACCACTGTGACCACTTTCAAGCTACCAATGTAATAGCACTGAACACAAATTTGGGGAGAGATGTGCAGGAACACAGTGTTACTCTGTATTTCTACTATGCAGATATAATAGAGGAAAATAACTGTAATAGAAAAGTGTATAAAATGATCAGAAAATGCTGATTTTGACTAATAATTATTACGTTTGTCTTTAATATACTTTATTGCAATGTAAGTATATATAATTTAAATTTTACCAGTGGTGATGATAAACAACTGGCTTGTATATTTCCTGAATATGGAATAATTGACTCTTGTGAGACTTTCAAGCTGGCCCCAGTGCACCCCTGGACATTTGCGACTCAGAATATCCATCATACTAGCAGCATGCTTTTTTTTTTTTCTTTAACTCCTGTTTCCTCCTTTTTCCACCTCCCCATACCCAGACAAAAGTCAGATTTGGTGCAGAAATTTTATACATATATGAATAATAAGTTTGTACTGGTGAGACCATTCTAGTTGTTACAATTTTGAAATATTATCATATCATCTAGTAGACAACTATTTCCTTGATCTCCCTAAGTGTCCTCCTCTACCCAGTGGCTACCTCAGCACCTCCCTTGTCACTTCCAGACCATACAGTGACACATCAATTTGTTGGGTTAATCCCTGACACTTCAGTTGCTCTTGAGTGTCTCTGCCTGATTTGACTCCCCAAAGAAAGCGCTATGTTGACTTTTGCATTATCTCTTGTTGCATAACAAATCCCCCCTAATTTAGTGACTCAAAACAACATGTACTTATTATCTCAGTTCCTGTTGGTCAGGAATTTGGGCAGGGCTTATCTGAGTGATCTATCTTAAGGTTTCTCACAAGGCTCCAATCAAGGTGTCATCCAAGGCCAGGGTCTTATCTGAAGGCTCAACTGGGGAAAGGTCTGCTTTCAAGCCCATGTGATGGTGGGAAGACCCAGTTCCTTGTGAGCTATAAGGCTGAGGGTCTCACTTCCTCACCAGCTGTTGGTTGGAGGCTATCTTCAGCTCCTGGCCACATGGACCTCTTCAACTGTCATCTTGTTGTATCAAAAAATGCAAACTGAGAAGGTGTGCACATTGAGAGTTGGCCAGCGTGACTATAGTCCCAACTTATTGTAACCTAATCATGGAACTGACATCCCTTCAACAAAGTTGTATTCTATTGGAACATTTTACTCAAGGGAAGAGGTTTATACAATATTGTGAATACCAGGAGGTTGGGATAAGTGGGATAATCTTAGGAGTCTATCAACTGCAGTTGTCAAACACTTTGAACATTACTCGCATGTCTTGCCTGCCACACTCCATGTGGGCGGACATTAGGTTTTGTGTATGACCATGTTTGTAATTGTCAGTACTTGACACATAGTAGGTACTCCACAATATTGCTTCCCTTCCATTGTTTCCATTGTTCTGTCTTTTCTCGTGCTTTCTTTCCATTTTATATAGTAAATTCAGTGTAGAGCCAAATATCTCTGTATGAAATGTACTTTCCTGAGTCAACCAGAATCAACTTTAGAGTCATCTCAGATTCTATGGGATCCTTGCTGCTGCTGCTCTTTCAATGGACAGAGTAAAGCAAGAGTTGATTGTAAGAAGGATTTACCATCCCCCCCCACCCATCACCAGGTCCCTGGGACTGTAATTCACTGAAATACCCCACAGCAGTCAGTGAACTTCTCCCAAACACTTAACTCATGCCCAAAGGGTAATTTACTTACCCGGTACCCTGGTTTCCTAAATACTCCTATAACAGAGATGTAATTTCTCATAAGGAGTTAGGTGGAAGGGACCCCAATGTAAAAACCTCGATGATCCAGGAACATGTATTTCCCATCACACCTTTTCACTAAATCTCTCTATTTGTGTATTAAAATAAAACAACCTTGAATACCTATTAAATAGTACAAGAGATCATAACCTATTATTGCAACACAATTTCTCCTGGTACCTTGGGGGGAAATAATTCATTATTATTTTTCTATATAACTCATAAAATGGGGAAATGATTTAATACACAGAGTAGAACTAAATTGTTTCCAAAGTGACCAATTTTCACAATGTTTAAAATGATACTGCATTCCTTAGCATGGTTCCAATATCCTTTGACACTTTGGAAAGATTCTGGGGAATGTCACCAAGTGTGGATCGGGCTCTGGCCTCTCCATGTTTCCCTGTAGAGTTTCCGATGCATCTGGGCCCAGGAGAAAATTGTCAAGCCACCACCTGGATTCATGCCGCAAACACATACTCTGGTGGTTTCACGACCTCTAATTGTCTGTCCAGGAAATCGTCTCACCTCAACTCAGGTCCTGAATTTCACTAAAACCCTTTCAAAGTCACAAATGTTAACTTGGTTTTGTTTAGCATTTTGAGCCAATTTCTAAGAGCTCTTAGGGGTATAAAAATGACATATATAAAATTCCTAACAAGTAGCAGCGAATGACACATACTACTTTCTAAGTGCCTGTTTCAAATGTTTTTACACATGATGGTTCATTTTGACCTTACACTAACCTTGTGAGGTAGGGATGATAGCTATCCCCATTTTACAGATGAGCAAACTGAGACAAATAGGCTTGGTCTCCCAGTCCATGCTCTAAGCCATGATGCAGCATTACTTCTATAGAAGACCATCAAAGATCAGTAGTAATTCTTTTTTTTTTTTTTTTTTTTTTTTTAAACAGGGTCTCTTCTATTGCCCAGGCTGGAATGCAGTGGTGTGATCTTGGTTCACTGCACCCTCTGCCTCCTGGGCTCAGGCAATTCTCCTGTCTCAGCCTTCTGAGTAGCTGGTACTACAGGCGTACACCACCACATCCAGCTAATTTTTGTTTGTTTGTTTTTGTAGAGACAGGGTTTTGCTGTGTTGGCCAGCTGGTCCTGAACTCCTGAACTCAGGCGATCCTCCCACCTTGGCCTCCCAAAGTGCTGGGATTACAGGCATGAGCCACTGCGCTAGGTCAGTGGTAATTCTTATTATCTGGATATTCCTTAAGAGTATGGTAAACTCATCAAAGAGACAATCAGGATGATTTCCACAGACTCGCTCTGGACCTGTAATTTTTACACTGGATTTTCCACTGTGTTAGATCTATGAGCTGCTGAATTTAAAAAGAAAAGAAAAGAAACGAAAAACTTCATGATAATATAAGTTTGGAAAACTCTCAGAATTTTGGACCAAAGACTCTGAGGAGATTTGCAAAGAATTTGTTTAATTTTATTTAAAGAAATGATTCTCATACTTAGTTGAATGTGGAGTAATTTTGCTTAGCATATTATACACGGCCTCCCCTTTCTGTGGATGGGGGTTCCACAGACACACTCTGAGAAATCCTGCTCCATCTAGGTAGTTAGAGGATCAAGCCTCTCCCAGGAAAGCAATAGACTCTCACTCCTCCAGGGTCTTGCAGAATGGGGATGGACTTTCTCAGCACTAGGATATCCCAAGACTACATTAAGGTTCCTAGAACAACAGTAGTAAATGTAACCTTCTGGAGAACTTTGCAAGTGCCACCAACTATGTCTAGGGCTTTCTGCATTTTAGCCCCTGGTCCTCAGCTGAATGGGAAGACACCAGCTGGTATTTTCCATGTGTCCTCTTGCCTATGGATGTCTTTTCTGATGATGTCTCCAGTAGTGACCTTTGGAGAGGTTGTAGGTGAAATGAGCCCCACAGATTTCCTGCTTTGGGGAGCAGAGTTGACAGAAAACCTCAGAGTAGTTGCCTGTCTGGACCCTCTACTGCATTCTTGCTGAGATCATGTTTCTCCTGAGCTGTGTGCAACCAGTGACCAAGCCTGGGGACAGGATATGATTTCAGGCCATGCCTGCAGGCTGCAGGCTCCTCTAACAGAGGGTGTTAGCTTGAGGTCTCCCCATTAGCCTGCTCAAGACTTGGGAGTGCACAGTGGTCTAAGGCTCTTCCCTCCCAGTCTTTCCTTCCCCTTCTCCTTTCAGAGGTGTCAGGCCTGCATTGTGGTCTGAAGGGTCTCCCTGCCTACTCCTCCTTTTTCTTCTTAATCCTTCATGGACGCTTCCCTCAATTAACTGCTTGCACATCTAACCCTGCTTTGGCGTCTACTTCTCAGAGGATCCTAAGACAGAAGCCAAAACATCCAGGCCTTCTGCTGGCATCTGAGAGCTAGATGGCCATGTTCCAGGTTCAGATCTGCTTTTGTGGCCTAGAGCAGGAGTCTGCCAATGATAGCCCATGGACCAAGTCTGGCCTTGCTGTCTATTTTTGTAAATAAAATTTTATCGAAACACAGCCAGGCCCTTTCATTTATCTGTTGTCTATAGGGGCTCTCATGCTACAAGGGCAGAGTTGAAGAGTCACAGCAGAGATCATATGGCCTGCAAAGATGAAAATATTACATCTATTCACCGGCTGTTAACAAATAATGTTTATTACCACCTGAAAACACCCCATGATCAACACGTCTGGTTCTTTCAATAGAGTTTGGATAAATAGCCTGTCACCTACCCTTAGTTTCCATCTATTTCTTTAAGAAATAAGGAAACTGAAAAGCAGATATTAGAGTTCATTTGACAGATTATTACTGAGTACACTCAATTCATTTCAAGGCACTTGGACAGGCATTCTCATTTGTTCAACGTATGTTTACTGAGCACCTACTAAATACTAGTTGTTAAGGTAGGAGCCAGATTGGATACCTTCATTCATTCCTTTTAACAATAATTTACAGAGCCCTGACTTTTTGCCACACTAGGCAGGGGAGACATAAAGGCAGATCTTATGTGGTCTCTGAGGAGCATCTCTGTTGGGGGCAGATGCTGTTGTTGAGCTCCTCACCACTTTTTTCTTTATTTTTCCCTTACAAACCCCCAAATTTATTTAAGTGACAGCCAAACCCCAGAGAATGATCACAACTGATCTACGTCAACATCAGCAAACCCCTTTTCCTTGGCTAATGATTGGTCCAGAATAGACAATTGGTTCAAAGTTGGCCAGTAAGATATAAGCAGCATCCTGATACAGGTTTGCAGAAAAGATTTCCTTCCATAATAAAAGATGTCTGTAAGGACAGAACCCTTTTCCACCAGCCTCATTTCTCCCTACTTTGAGCTCTATCTTCTGAGGGCTAGATGTCAACAGAGACAGCAGCCACTTTGTGACCATGAGGGGAAGGCCAGGAGGATATAGAGGTTGTCCAGATCCCTGCCATCATCAGCCACCCCAAAAACTCCAGAGTTGCCTAAGACAGGATTCTTGCTACGTGAGAAAAATAACCTTCCATTCATTTGAGGCACCATCAGCTGGACATTCTCTTCCTTGCCTCTCAGAGTACCCTCAGTGATGCTTTCTCCCCGAGAACATATTTCTATTTTTTATTTTTATTTTTTTAGAGACGGAGTCTTGCTCTGTCACCCAGGCTAGAGTGTAGTGGCATGATCTCGACTCACTGCAACCTCTGCCTCCTGGGTTCAAGCGATTCTCTTGCCTTAGCCTCCCGAGTAGCTGGGATTACAGGTGCGTGCCATCATGTCCAGCTACTTTTTTGTATTTTTAGTAGAGATGGGGTTTCACCATGTTGGCCAGGCTGTTCTCAAACTCCTGACCTCAGGTGATCTGCCCACCTCAGCCTCCCAAAGCACTGGGATTACAGCTGTGAGCCACTGCGCCTGGCCTCCAAAACCTTTTCATTCAAATCCCAGTGGCCAACCAGGTCTACCCCAACCTCATCATTCCCAAGAGAGGCTGTCCCTGAGATAAGCTTTCTGAGATGTGACCTTATTTTCTCTCTACCTTATTCTCTCTCTATGTTCTCATTCTTGTCTTGAAGAATATTCCTTTGTGGGCCAAACCTAGACCTAATAATCAAGAATATAAAAGGCAGACCAGGGCGCGGTGGTTCACGCCTGTAATCCCAGCACTTTGGGAGGCCGAGGCGGGTAGATCACCTGAGGTTGGGAGTTCAAGACCAGCCTGACCAATATGAAGAAACCCTGTCTCTACTAAAAATACAAAATTAGCCAGGTGTGGTGGTGGGCGCCTGTAATCCCAGCTACTTGGGAGGCTGAGGCAGGAGAGTAGCTTGAATGCTTGAACCAGGGAGGCAGAGGTTGTGGTGAGCTGAGATCGTGCCATTGCACTCCAGCCTGAGCAACAAGAGTGAAACCCTGTCTCAAAAAAATAAAAATAAAAATAAAAATAAAAGGCAGATCAACCCAGTAGTCTCCAACCTTGGGAGGCTTCAAAAGGAGAGAAATCTGTTTCTCATTGGCACCCGGGCACTTCCTTTTGCAGTGAGCAAAAGGAACTGGGGCCGTGGAACTGTTGCAAGGAAACCTAGCCAGCACAAGCCGCTCACAGCACAATGCAGACCTTTCAGAGACAAGACAGGCTGGAACATGAAAGAAACTTCACATCCCTGGGACCATTGGCCATGGTGGGCATGAGGGTAAAGACGGGAACTGGATAAGAGAAGTGACGTGTTCTGGGGTCTAGAGGGGCAAGAGGCAATACAGTCGACTCAGTCACCCTTTTTACAAATCACATTACTCAGAGCCACAAGGCAATAACTGATGAGTAAAGATGCTTTAATTTTACTCTGTGTTTTACAATATTTACAACAACCTAATGAGGGTGATATTACAATCACTGTTTTGCAGATGGGGAAACTGAGGCTCAGAAAAGTGAGACTTGCTTGGTGCAGAGATATGATTCAGATTGCCAGAGTTGATGATACAAAAGCCCACATGGACTCCACCTTTCCCTGTGCTTCCTCTATGATTTCAAAGGCTTCCAGAGTTTTTCTCTTTCATCCTGTCACTTGAATCAGGAGGAAACTTGGATATTAAAAACACCTCCAAACAAAAGAGCTTACTGCTACAATAATAATGACAAGAAATGATAATAATAACATAGTTATTATTTACTGAGTGCTTAGCATGTACCAAACACTGTGCTCAATTTTTTTCTTGATTTTTTTCTTCTGATTTAATTCTCATACTAGCCCAAGGAAGTGACAATTAATAACATTTTACATGAGAAAACTGAGATTTGGAGAGATTAAGGGACTTACCCAAGGTCCCAGGACTTGTAAATGGCAGAGCTGGGACTACCCCAGGTGTATCTGATGTTAGATACACATCCCTGGGACTATTGGCTGTGGTGGGGATGGGGTGAGGGTGAGGATGGGAATTGGGTAAGAGAAATGATGAATTCTGGGGTCTAGAGGGGCAAGAGGCAATATAGGCGACTCAGTCACCCTTTTAACATAGCCAGGGCCTGTTAACCTCACTGGATACTGCCTCTCTAAAGAACGCCTCGCATTTGTCTCCATCTCTCATTATAATGTTCAGCCACCTTCTGGTGATCTGTTCTGTCTTCTACTTCATATCTCTCCTGCTGATGTTCATGTCCAGATTCACTTCTTTTGCCCTCAATGTAGATGCCAAGTGGGCATGTGTTTGTGTGGGCATCTGCCCATTCTATTTTTCAGCTCTTCTGTGTTTGGCATGCATTGGGGGTATTAGAAATAGGAGTTGGAGGAAGCAGAGGCCTCTGGGATTGAAGAAGGGGATGTTATTAACTACAGGCTTTTCTAGGGGAGCCCCTGTTAACTATTATGAGCCAGCAGGTCAAGTGCTCTAAGACAGCCACATCTGGTCAGCAGCTCAGCTCACTGCCTGCAATTTGTGGCTGGAGCTTTTTTCCCATCTTACATGGAAAAGCAATATGATCACAGAATAGAGTTTTAAAGGACAAATGACAGAACAGCTCACATAGCTGTGACAAACAGAGGCACACCTTTTGTGTACACCCTGGCAAGTGCACCAGGAGGGCTACTCAGCTCTTGCGCGATGGCTGCCTGTCCTGCCGTCTAAGGGAAGAAGGGTCTGAATCAAGCTTGCAACCTCCACATCCTTTTTCCACCGTATGTGAGGCAGGGATTCATGGTTACGAATCGGGCTGTGGGGTTCAGGAAAATCAGTGCTAGGATTTCAAATCTTTCCTTGTGCACTCTTGAAGAAGTACCTTTATGTCTCTGAGCTTTGGTTTAGTCAGTTGTGAGGTAACAATGGCAGTCTTCTCACAGGATATGTGTGAAATTTGAATGAGGTCTCGGAGGTAAAGAAAAAAAAAGTTTGCACAATTTTGGCACATAGTAGGCACTCAGTTAACGATAGCAGTCCTGTGGCTGTGAATATAAATTCTGGAGGAAGACGATAGTTTTATTGGCATCCTTTGGAAACTCACACTGCTCATCCTAGTTCCAGAAGACTGTTTCCTGCAAATGCGCAGAATTTGTAGTAAATGGGCAAGTTTTGATTAGCAAAAAAGTCATCTAATTGTTAGCAAAGGTAGACATTACAAGAAATTTTTAAGAATAAAATGAAAAACCTATCCAATCTAACCATTTTCACAGTAAGCTCTTTGGTATGTTTCCTTCCTAGCTGTCCTTTAGTGCATGCGTTGGCAAACATTTTCTGTAGAGGGCCAGATAGAAATATTCTCTGCCTTACAACCATCTGCTCTCTGTTGTAAAGATTCAACTTTGCCATTAATAATGCATGGCCATGTTCCAATAAAACTTGATTTTGAACACTAAAATTTCAATTTTGTGTAATTTTCAGGTGTCATGAAATATCATTCTTTTTTGATTCCCCCCTCCATCATTTAAAAAGATAGAAGATGATTCTTAGCTCTTAGGCTATTCAAGAGAGAGAGTAAGCCTATAGATCATAGCCAATTCACAAGAACCTGTGCCTAAATATTTGCAGGCCTTTACACATATATTGCACACTTAGATTCTAACAATATGTATAGTTCTGAGTCCTGCTTGTGACACTTGTGGATCTGAGCATTGTCCCATGCCACCAAATCGATGAAAGCTTTATTTTTAATGGCTGTTCCATATTTCAGTGTGCAAGTGTCCATGATATATTCTTTAACAATTTCCTTTAGTTTGCAGTGTAGGTTGTTTCCATTTATTTTGTTATTAGGGGCAATGCTGTGATGAAATTTAATCTATACCTTCTACATGGAAAAAAGATTCTTACAAGTTCCATAGAATTCTGACATTGTCTTTATCCCCAACTCGGAACAATCCTCATCCACAGACCATGGGGAAAGAGCTGTGCAGGTTGCATCTAGCTTTTTAGAGAACAGAATGAATTTTAGAGCAACCTTGGGATGTGTAGATGGAAACTTGGCTAACTCACGCCCCCTCCAACAAACATCTTGGATCCTGAATCCCATCTTCTTGCCCTCCATCCATTGTGACCTACATAAGCGGCCACTACCAGATGCCATTATGGGAAACTGAGGTCCATAGAAGTTATGATTTTGCCAAAGGTCATTCAGTAAGCTAGCAGTGGCATTAGATTTAGAACTTACAACACCTTAGTTTCTAGGGTATGTTGGTCAAGTATCTTGAGCAGATAAATTTTACTAATAGAAAAGGAACAATAATGATACTGTTGTATGTGTGTGCACGCACACACACTAACACGCGCACAGGAAAGAAAGAAAAATGTACTCTGGCCCATCCATTCTGTGCCAATTTCCCCTGTTGGGACTTAGTTTAATCCAGCCTTTTGGCTTGTTCATCATATGCACCAATTTCTTCCTTTCCCGGAAACAAATCGAGGTGTCTCTTGAGCTCATGTACACTCCCACTTCCCTCACCTCCCCATTTAACATTTTCCATATGTGTATTAACCTAAAGGGACGCCAGCTCCCTCGTTTCCCGAGATATCTGATGCCTGTATAATGTTCTTGAGTGTTTAAACCTCAGCAGTATGGAAAGTCTTTCTCTTTTTCTGCTGCCCTTACATGAATGGGGGCATTTCTTTGGAATCTCATTTCCTTTGTGTGTGAGTCCCATTCCTTTATTATTACTGCACGTACCTGGCCAAAAACTCATTTCTGGACCTCTGAAATCACTTTGTCTCCATCATTAAGAGTGAGAAAGACCCATGGAATTCCACGAAATTCTGATAATGGATCAGGGGCTGAGGAGTCTAATTATTTGGACAGTTGTTTATGGCTAAAATAAACATTTGAGAGGATTAACAGCTTGCAGATTGGAACACTGAGGCCCTGAGGGTTCATGTGGCTTGTCCAAGGTCACACAGCATGTTAGGAGCATAGAACAAGCATTCTGAGTCACTCAGATAAATCTAACTCTAGGCCGCCCTCACAATACAGCCAGAGAGAAGAGAATGAAGACTCATCCCCAAATTCCTGGGATTAACATGAATAGCTGTAAGCCAGAACTTGACAATTCATCATCCCTTATCAGCTTGGTGCTTCTTGTCATGAGTAGCTTATGGAATGGGATATATATATATGTATATATATATATACGCATACACACACACACACACATCTATATATGTATATATATGTATATATGTGTATATGCATATGTGTGTGAGATATGGTTTGGCTGTTTCTCTACCTAAATCTCATCTTGAATTTTAGCTCCCACAATCCCCACAAGTTGTGGGAGGGACCCGGTAGTAGGTAATTGAATCATGGGAGTGGGTTTTCTCAGGCTGTTCTCATGATAGAAAGTCTCATGTGATCTGATGGTTTTATAAAGGGCAGTTCCCTTGCACACACCCTCTTGCCTGCAGACATGTAAGACATGCCTTTGCTCCTCCTTCCTTTCTGCCATGATTGTGAGGCCTCCCCAGCCATGTGGAACTGTGAGTCCATTAAACCTCTTCTTCTTTATAAATTACTCAGTCTCGGGTATGTCTTTATTAGCAGAATGAGAATAGACTAATACAGTGTGTGTGTGCACAAATACATTAGATGTAAACATGCATCTCTGACACATATTTGTTTTAAAAAACAAGTAGAGTGAATTAAGTGGCTGGGCATGGTGGCTCACACCTGTAATCCCAGCACTTTGGGAGGCTGAGATGGGTGGATCACTTGAGGCCAGGAGTTTGAGACCAGCCTGGCCAACATGGCAAAACCCTGTCTCTACTAAGAATAAAAAAATTAGCCAGCTGTAGTGGTGCGTGCCTGTAGTCTCAGCTACTAGGGGGCTGAGGCAGGAGAATTGCTTGAACCTGGGAGGTGGAGGTTGCAGTGAGCCAAGATCATGCCACTGCACTCCAGCCTGGGCAACAGAGTGAGACTCAGTCTCAAAAAACAACAACAACAAAAAGAGTGAATTAAAATCAATGAGCAACTGAGAGAGTTGAATACGTTAATACATTTGAAGGGCTCAAAATCTACAGAAACAGTTATAAGATTTTAAGGTAAAAAAACACTATTACATTATTTATTAAACTGGGCAAGAGCAAATTAAATATTTACATTATTAAAAGTCTCACTTTTGTAGTCTTTAATAGGCATTAAAAGTTTTTTGAAAAATAACAATATTGATAATAAAGATGGGAGCTCACTGTTGCTGAATCCTTACTCTGAGTCATTCAAAAAGCCCCATTGGTTCTTTCAACCCTGTCCAAGATTTTCTTTGCATGTGGCATCCTGTTACTGCATGAATGATCTGGAGAGCCTCTAGATGGATCCATTCTTGCATGCTATTTCATCCCTTCTTCCATTCTAATTCAACAAATACATACTGGCTGTTAGTATGTGCTAGGTATTGGACAAGATGGAACATAAGCTGTAGCTGCCATACTTCCCAACTTTTTGACCAAGTCTGGATTTAAAGTGGTCCATCTTTTCCTTACTCTAGCCAATAATCTCAGCTGAGATTTAGAAAACATGCTTAATATATTAGGTTGGTGCAAAAGTAATTGCCATTACTTTTAATGGCTAAAACAGCAATTACTTTTGCACCAACCTTAGCTGGGGATATATGTCTCCACAGTAAAGGGAAGCTGTGGACTGGAATGTTGAAACCAATGACAAACTTTATCATTTCTCATTCTTCTTCAGCTATCCTTAAATTACTCTTCAAACAACGGCTTCTTGGGCCTTGGGGCTTAGAAGTGACTTCCCTTTTGCCCCCATTCCAAGGTGAAGGTCTTTGACCTTTCATTCCCACGTTCTGTTCCCTGTGTTGTAGGCACTAAGAGAAGAGCAGTGGACAAGTTCAATCCTTGTGCTCATGGCAGTTACAGGCTGGTAGGGATGTCAGCCACAGCGCCAGTCATTACTGTCTGAGCTCCAAACTCACCCTCTATGCTCTGCCCTGTAATGCTAAGGCCAGGACTCTGAAAATGTCATTTATGCTTTGCCAGAGGCCTCCTCTTGGGCTTTGCCAATGGAGAGCAATAGAGGGAGATTGAGTGGCTTTGAAGATGTGAAGAGACTTGCGCTTTCCTGTCTACACGTGGCTCCTATGAGCACTGGGTTTCCTCCTCTACTCTACTCCCAGCAGCAGTGGTGCTTTCTTATATCAACAGGTAAATCCCATTGGCATTTTTCCCCAGCGGTCTGCATTTTTTTCCAATGGTATTCCCCCTTGGAAACAACAGTACCAGCTGACAGTGCCCCTTCCTCAGAAATCAGGGATCCAGCCAATGGGAGCCCTTTTCTGAACTCAGAATCACTAGCCAAGTTTCAGTTTCATGGGGCCCCTCCTTTAACTTTCTAAGTTTTAGTAATTCTAATATCTTCCCTTTAGTCCCTAATCCTAGGACTGGTAGTAGCGTGTTTAGTTGCTACCTTTGAGATAACCGGTTTCGACAAACAACTGCACGCCAGCCTCGGCAACAGAATGAGACTCCATCTGGGGGAGAAAAAGAAGATAGAGACAGGATGAATTATGTATTTTATGGGACTTAATATGTTTAAAGTATCCTCGTTTCAACATGCAATCAGATTAAAATAAAAAACCATGAATGGCAAATTTTACATTCTCTTTTTAAGTCTTCAAAACCCAGTGAGCATTTCAAAACCCTGTAAGTCTTCGACACCCAGTGAGTATTTCATACACGCAGTACATCTGAATGGGGACTCGACACACTTCAGGTGCTTAATGTGTCCAGTAGTTGCCATATTGGACTGCACAGCACAGCTCTAAAGCCTGACTACCCAGGTTCACATTCCAGCTCTGCCACTAGTAACTGTTTAACTTGGCTAAGTTTTTGAATCTCCGTTTCCTCATCTGTAAAATGGAAATAACAATAGGTCCCACTTTATAAGGCTGTAGAGAGCACTGAATAAGTTAACATATTTAAAGAGCTCAAAACATAGAGTATCAATTATCAAACTATTTAAAAACAACCATCCTACTGTCAAAGGTGTAGAATCACTTAGACAGGCCAGGCATGGTTGTACGTACACCAGCCAGACATTTGTTGCTGGCATCTTCTCAGCAAAAGACTTGGGGACTAGAAGAGAGGATAATTTTAAAAGTGTGGTTTAGAATCCAGTGTACGAGTTTACCCCAGACCCCGTAGGGTTCATGGGGTCTTAGAATAGTTCTAAAGTCAAGAATCCACTTCTGCCTCTGTCTCAGCCCTTTTTTATTTTCTTTCCTTTGGCATTTCAGGGAACTCTGAAGCTCATAAAATGGGAAAATCCTAATCAAAACACGAACATTTCTCATTTTGGAACTGGGGCTTAGGAGGAAGCATTCTTGAGTCACATAAACACGGGGAAGGGTTATTCTAATCCAATCAAATGAAAACTGGCAATTAAATTATGAGGATGCTACCAGTACACCCAGCTTAGGCCAAACCCAACTTGCTCCTGCGGTGCTGAAGACTGTCTCTTCCTTCAAAAGACCAGGCAGCCATGGCAATGATCTCCCTTCCTTTCAATCCAGGGACAGACACACATGCCCCGAACTTGGGCTTTGGGCTTTAATGAAAACATGGAATCCACTGGGAAAATAAACTCACTCTCCTCTTGACCCCATCTGGACTCCCTCCTCCCTCTACAGAGGTGATAATTACTGAAGGCTTAACACCTCTCCTGTATCTTTATATACCCAGTCCTGGGAGGGAAATAACAAGAATTCTTAACCCCTCAGAGAGCATTTTCCTTGGGGGAGATTGCAGGGGGGTTAGGCAGGATGAAGGAAGTTCCTTGAGTTCTGACAGTGGGGCTAACTGGAAGGAGGTAGACAAGCATTGGTCACCTGGAACAGGATGGTAGACAAAGCTTCTTCCCATGGCCCTGAATCCCCACTGGTAGGGGTGGAGAAGCTCAGATTTTAGCCTAGGTGAGGCTTTCCTATTTAACTGTCCAAAATGCGTCCCTGTCAGTAGCTTCCATTACTCTTAGAAGGAAAGCGGGACCTTTCGCCAGAACCAGTAATGCCCAGAATCAGGTGCCTTGCTTTGGTGTGACCAGCTGCCCTGGAAACCTTTCCATTTTATGGGCCTCAGGGCCTTTGCACGTGCTATTCACTACATCTTGAGTCTGTTTTCTTTCCTTTCTCTCCACCTTTTACCTTTCTACCTTATTTTAGGTCTCAGTTCAAATGTTACCTCTCTAGGAATGGAAATAACCTTAATATTTACCAATATGCACTAGTGGAATAAATTATGGTACAAGCACACAATATAATGCAATGCAGCTTTTTTCTTTTTTTCTTTTTTTTTTTTTTTTGAGACGGAGTCTCACTGTGTCACCCAGGCTGGAGCGCAGTGGCGCAATCTTGACTCATTGCAACCACTGCTTCCCAGGTTCAAGCAATTTTCCTGCCTCAGCCTCCCAAGTAGCTGGGATTACAGGCGTGCGCCACCACACCCAGCTAATTTTTTTTTTTGTATTTTTACTAGAGGAAGGTTTTCATCATATTGGCCAGGCTGGTCTTGAACTCCTGACCTCAGGTGATCCACCCACCTCGGCCTCCTAAAGTGCTGGGATTACAGGCATGAGCCACCATGCCCGGCCAATGCAATGCCATTTTATAAAAGAATGAAGGGGCTCTTTCCATAAGAATAAGGAATAGTCTTCAAGAAAATCTAATGTAAGAAAAGAAAAAAAATGAAATATTGTGTATAAGAAGCCACCATATGTGTAAAAACAGAAATATATATATAGTTTTTTATATTAAAAAACTTCCTGTGTGTGTATTTGGTAGTATATACATAGACTATTTTGCTGGTCACCTTTTAGAAAGAAACTGGGGACAGGGAATACCTGGATAACCTTTTATATTTCCTATCTATTTAGTGACAAAGCAGGTTATAAAAATGCATACCAAATATTATCCTATTTGTACATAAAATCATATACCCACTCATACAGAATAGGACTGGACAAATATACAACAAAATATATGATTGTGGAGCAATTTCTGGGGGTCCCTTTTTTCTTCTTTTGTACTTTCTATTTTTTTTTCCCCAATGAGCATACTATTTTTGTGATTTGAAAACTAAATAATGACATAGAAGCAGTGAAAGGCAGTTCAGCCTCAAGGTTAAGGGCACAGATTCCAAGGCACACTGCTTCAGTTTGAATCCTGGTTTGTTGCTGTCTGTGTGACTTTGTAAAGTGGATTAACCTCTCTGTGCTTCTGCTCCTTCATTGGTAAAATAGATGTGATAATAACAGGATGTAGCTCCTAGGAGTGTTGTGAAGATTAAGTGGATTTATATGTACGTGTCTATGTGTATATGTGTTTGTAAAAGTAAACACAACATATAAATCCATTATTGCAATTTTTTGTGGGGGGACAGGGTCTTACTCTGTTGCCTAGGCTGGAATGTAGTGGCATGGTCATAGCTCACTGTGACCTTGACCACCTGGGCTCTGGGGATCCTCCCACCTCAGCCTCCCACTTAGCTGGGACTACAGGCATGCGCCACCATGGCCAGCTAATTTTAAAATTTTTTTGTGGAGATGTGTTCTCCCTCTGTTGCCCAGGCTGGTCTTGAACTCCTGACCTCAAGCTGTCCTCCCACCTCAGCCTCCCAAAGTGTTGGGATTACAGGTGTGAGCCACTGCATCCTGCCTACTATAGCAGTTTGTTATTATTTTTATTTTTAATCGAAATATGCAAGATGTTCCCTATTTTTAAATGTGCAAAATAATAAACTAAATTTTAAAATATGCATTATAACAGTTAAAAATAAATTGCTATATGTACATCTAAAACAAAGCCACAACCTGATCTTTTCTTCCCTGAGCTGGTCCATCAGTGGGAATGTTCCCTCTCCAAAGCATGTAATCTTGACCGCTCTGGCATGGTGCTGTGGAAACCCTGGGGACAGATGTCAGCCTGCCACCAGACTCCCTGAACACCCTGAACACCCTGGAGCTGTGAAATGTCAGGTGCCAAAAGCGAGTGTTCTACATTCTTCATCATGGCTGATACTTTTTGATCGGTTTCCGTGGTGAAGGAGAGGGAAGGCCTAGGACAAGTTCGCACTGGCATCTTCCTTCAGAGCCCTGGCCCCTGCCTGGGTGGGTGCATGCTGACTGGCTGACTTGCTATGACAACTGGCTGAGCAGCTTTGATTAATTAAATATTTCACTCCAAATTTGCAAAACAGCATCTCCTGGCAAGTCCAGTAAGCCCACATAACGCCTGTAATTCTGGGCTAATTAGCCTAGCAGGTCATTGGCTGGTGTGCTGTTGTCTGTTTAACTCTTAGATAGGCTGAAAAAATGTTGGTTTTAGAAAGGAAGGAAAAGGTTTAGGATTCAGCCAGCATGTCAGTTTGCCTGGTACTAAGATTTCCTTCTAGTCACCTTGAAACCCCAGTAACTTCCTGTGTGGGAGCCTTATTATGTGCTAAGTATGTTAGGAGACTTGACTTCTCATTTAATCTGATCAGTAAGAGGAACATTTAGGGCTTCTGTTGCAAGGGCTAGAAAACCCAGTTCTGGTTGGTTTGTGCCAAAAAGGCATAACTGAAAAGTTATATAGTTGTCGACACTATTGGCTTCTGAAATTGAAAAGTCCTGGGGTCAAGCAGCTTCAGGAATGACGATCCAGCACCCAGCTGTTGTCCTCCGTGTCTGACTGATTCCCTCTCTCCTGCGTAGGCCCCTTTCTCACACTGCATCTTTCTACAAGGACACAGGATGGTTGCCAGGACTTCAATCGTTATTTCTCTCTAGTTTTGTATTCGAGAGAAGCAAAGCGAGAGGCTCTTTTCCAGAAGCATTAGCAAAAGTCTCAGGATATCTCATTGCCTCTTGAAGACTCATGTGCCCATCTCCAAGCTAATCCCTGAGACCACAGGATGCATTGTACAAATCATGCTCATCAGTAGGGTTCCCCTACCCAAACCACGGGTGAAAATTGGGAAGAGAATTTTTTTCTGAAAGAAATTCAGAGTGCTGCTTTTTATTTATTTTTTCTTTTTACAAATATTTTTGAGACAGAGTCTCGCTCTGTCACCCAGGCTGGAGTGCAATGGCACACTCAAGGCTCACTGCAGCCTCAACTTCCTGGGCTCAAGCGATCCTCCCACCTCAGCCTCCCTGATGGCTGGGACTACAGGTGCATGCCATGACACCTGGCTAATTTTTTTTTTTTTTTTTTTTTTATATTTATATTTATATTTTTTGTAGAGATAGGGTCTTGCCATGTTGCCCAGGTTGGTTTTGAACTCCTGGGCTGAAGTGATCTTCCTGCCTTGGCCTCCCAAAGTGCTGGGATTACAGATGTGAGCCACTGCACCAGGCTATGTTGCTTTTTAGAAGGGTGAACGGATATTGAAAACCAACAGATGTTTATAAGAGATGAATATTATTAAAATTCCTACTCTACAATTGAGAAAACTAAGATATAGAAAGGTTACATTGCTTGTCCAAAATGATACTATGGGTGCATGCTTTGAATTCAAGTTGGCCTTACTGCTGAGCCTGTCCTTTAACCGTGACCCTCTACTGCCTTCTCGTCCTCCCCTCCATGCCCATCTATTACACCATCTAGTTGCCTTCCCCTTGTTTCATCACACTGTCATCTATAGACCTGGAAAATATAGATCCTTAGCTTTATACAACGTTTATTTTTAAACAGTGGAGAACCCTGCTAGGGAGAATTTATGTCAGGAATCACTTCCTTTCCAGATGAACTACATAGGCGGTCATTTGTAAATTCTGTGTTTTTGTTCATGTCATTGATATGATATCATGTCATGATATCCATATGGTACATGGATAATGATAACAATAGCAATACTACTATCACTATCATTGCTATGGCTACTGCTATTAGCTAAGAGTCATCTTAGCTAATGCCTGGCATGATATTAAGCATGTCTACGTTTAATTCTCAAAACATTTTTATAATCTAGCTACTACCATTATGCCTACTTTATATAATAATTAAAAAAATCAGAGGATGGGTACAAGAAAAGTGGGAAGAATGAATTATACCTACTATTTGATAGCACAACAGCATGACTATAGTCAAGAATAACTTAATTGTACATTTAAAAAAACTAAAAGAGCATAATTGAACTGTTTGTAACACAAAGGATAAATGCTTGAGGGGATGAGTACCCCATTCTCCATGATATGATTATTTCACTCTGCATGCTTGTATCAAAACATCTCATGTACCCCATAAATATACACACCTACTATGTACCCATAAAAATTACAAATTAACAACAAAATTACAAATTAACAACAAAATTACTAAAATTAAAACAAAAAAATAGAATAACCTCTGTGGCAGCTGTTTGTCAAAAGACAAAAGAATTGCTTTTATAATAAAGGACTTCCAAATGACAAATAAGAAGTTGTACATCGTACCACTTTAATAAATATTTTGTAAAAAAATGAAAAGAAAGAAAAAAACACAGGTACAGAGAGGTTAATCAACTTGTCCAAGGTCACACAGCAAGGAAGTGGCAGAGCTGGATTCAAACCCTGTCTGTCTGGTATTGCCTCTCATCACATTAAGCTTGTGATTTCATTGGCATTGTGCTAAGTTTAGCAGGGGAAAAGATTTACAGAAAAATAAAAATACATCTTAGCGCTGGTACCTGTGCTGTGTGGAGAGGCATCAAAGAATGACAAGTAGGTTCAGATTCACAGCTGCTTGGAGTGAGAACAATAGCTCAGTCCTCCACACTGGTGCATGGGCCCCCTATATAGGGGAGCAGAATTCTTTTGGAAAGAATCCCCAAGGTGTCATGACTGCCTCACCCCCAGCTAAGGGCCCTGGCCACCATTGTATGCCTGATAAGTCCAAACTCATTAGTTATCCTGTTTAGACCATGGCAGTTACCTTACCCAAGATGTGCCAATTAGAGGTTTCTCCCTGATAACTTAGAATAAGGAGAGAGGAAATAAAATACACACCCACTCACATGCATATTGATTCATTCCCTTTTAGTGGTAGAATAAATAACCTGCAAACCTGGGCACAGTGGGATGCCTGCTATGCAGGTCGGAGAGGCAACTGGAGTCTGTTTGCAGTTAAAGAGAGAGGAATGAAGCCAGCCTGTAGCCAGAGACAGAAACAAGGGGTAAAGAAAAGGTCCCACCTGGGTCCCCAAGGACCTTTTTTCCTGTTCTAGTACTGCCACAAGTTCAGCTACATTCCAACCTAGCTATTTTGAGTATCTCCTACCTAAGAAACCTCCATCAGATTTCCATCACTTACAACCACATGAATCTAACCTACTCACCCGGCTTAGTCTCAAATGCTCAATTTCTCTGCCAAGGGTTGGGTCAAGCCAACAGAGCCAGTGAATGTTCAGGGGGACCACATCCAGAGCAGGCCTTCCCTTGAACCCTGAGGCTCAGCTGAAACTGTGGTTTCAGACAGCAACCTACAAGAACCCTTACCATCGGAGCCAGGTGAACCAACATGGATTTCTTTCCCCACAAGGTCAGCAAATCTTGGCACAGTGATTTCCCTTTGTCAGCAGTCAAATTGATCATTTTCTCAGGCTGCCTGAGTAATGCCAATTCCCAAGCCTTAGATGTTTGCTATAGAAAGCTGTCTCTTCTCCTGGATGCCCTGGGGCCTTGTTAAACCTCTTTCTTCAGTGCAAGGAGTCAATGTCCAATCTCAGAAATGGCCCCATCTCACAATCCATCCAAGAGGGTGGGCAAGATTAAAATCCCTGGTGTCACTGCTGGAGTCTCGCTGTCTCTCTTTAGGGTTGATAGTTAAAAATTCATGGTTATTTTCAAAGAAGAAAGAAATGCTTAAACTGCTTTCCTATTTGCAAACATTCCCTTTTTGATTCAAAATCAAACTTTTGTCTAGACAGGCAAGGGCTTTTTGCTGACATATCTTGCCAGTTCAGAAACCTTTAGGTTTTCCAAATGCAACATCCCCGCCCCTTCCAGGCCATGGGTCTCCAGCATCACAGTGCTTCCAAACACATTCTCTGAGCAGCTCAAAGCAGAGCTAACTGGATGGGGAGGCCCAAGATGAACACTGGCAGGTTCTTCCTTTGGCTCCGTCATCTTCCTTAACAAATTATCTACACTGGCAGCTATACAGACTCAGTAGCACAGTCTAGCTTATTTTCGTGCTTGAAGCAGCTAATAAAAGACTCTTTATCACCCAAGTGCTGCTGCTGTTTCTCTTTCTCCCTCTTCTTCTTCCTGTTTGTCTTCTCTTCTATTCCAAGTAATATGTGTTCACTTTAGAAAACATAAAGATTGCGTATACACTAAGAAGAAAATAAATACCTCCTCCCATAATATTATCCTGTTAAAAATTTTCTCTGAAGATATATACATATATCCTGTCTTAGTCTATTTTCTATAACTTAGTCTATTTGCTCTAACTGAAACCACAGACTGGGTAATTTATAAAGAATAACAATTTGTTTAGCTCATGGTTCTAGAGACTGGGAAGTCCAAAAGCATGGTGCTAGCGTCTGGTGAGGCCCTTCCTGCCGTATCACGACATGGTGGAAGGCATATCATGCCGAGACAGAATCAGCATGCTAGTTGAGATCTCTCTTTCTCTTATAAAGCCATCAGTCTCATCCTGGGTGCCCCACCCTGATGACTTTATTTAATCCTAATGACCTCCTCAAAGGCCCCACCTTGAAACACATCAATGTATGAATTTAGGAATTAAGTTTCCAACACATGAAATGTAAGGAAAACATTCAAACCATTGCATACCCTATAGATGTCTACATGAGTATCTCAAAAATTGTCCAAAAACTTTGCAACTTAATCAATATATTTTATTATCTCAGTTTCCACTGGTCAGGAATTTAAGAGCAGCTTATCAGAGCAGTAGTGGCTCAGGATCTCTCATGAAATTACAGTCAGATGTTGTTGGGACTGCAGTCTGATCTGAAAGCTTGATTGGCTCTGGAGGATCTGCTTTCAAGTTTGGACACCCCTATGGCTGGGAAGTTGGTTCTAGGTGTTTGTAGGAGACCTCAGTTTCTCACCAGGATGACCTTTCTTTCCATAAGCTGCTGGAGTGCCCTCACAATATGGCAGCAGGCTTCCTTCAAAATGAGTGATCAAAGAGGAAGCAAAACAGAAGCAGCAAAGACATTTTTTATTTAGACTTGAAGTCATACTCCATCATGTGTGCCATATTCTATCGATCACAGAGACCAACTCTGACATAGTGTGGGAATGTAGATGAAGACGACCCAAGGATTAGGAGGCAAGGATCCTTAGGGTCCATGCTGGTGGCTAGCTACTATTATAAAAAATATAAGATATCCATAATTTTTAAACAAAATATGGTGCTGTAGTATATATAACAACTTGCCAGCCATATGAGTGAGTCATCTTGAGCAGATTCTCCAGCCCCAGTCAAACCTCCAGATGACACTGTGTCCTCAACAACATCTGACTGCAACTTCAGGAGAACTTCAGAGACAGAATTGCCCAGTCAGGCCACTCTTGAGTTTCTTAGCCAGGGACACTGTGAGATAATACACTTATTGTTTTAAGGTGCTAAGTTTCTATGACTTGCTGTTTTCAAAATCAGTGTAGTGTGATCATCTCTTATTGCAAATAAATATAATTTTATAGCATCATTCTCAATGGGTCCCCAGGGAGGCAGTTGGAAATATGTGTTGTGTGTAGGTGGGGGTGTTTTAGGTAGTGACAATAACTGGCAGACACTCTGGAATTGGGTAGGAGCCAGGTAAGAGAGCTGTGATAAACATTAACTATTTCTGCTCACCTCTATTTCCAATTTTCTTCTTCTTTAGAGGATATGAGGTGATTACATTTCCCCTATCATTTAAAATTAATTATGAACATGTGACTTGCTTGGCCAGTGACATGTGAGAAGTGAAAGATGTAACTTTGAAGTGGAAGTACTTAACTGCCAGTGCACATCTCTACAGCTCTTTCTTCTCTTACCAGAATGGTCATGGAAGCACATGTCTGCACGGTGCCTTTGTCAGCATGAGCCACTGAACAATGACAAGCAGACACTCCTGTTGAGGGTCTTGCATGTAGCATGAACAAGGAAGGAACTTTTGTTGTTCTGGGTCACTGAAATTAGGGGTGTTTTTGTTATTGCAGTTTAACCTCACTCACCATGACTAATGACTAATGCACCGTCCCAAGGCAGAAGGTCATCCAGGTCTCCTAAGAGTGGGTCCAGAACCCATCTGCTGTCAGACCTATTCTTCACCCTTCTCTTGCTTGTCTCTGTATCTCAGGAGCTGGTCTCTGCAAGCTGCAGGTCCCAGCTTTTCCATCACTTTGTTTGCACTGGTGGTACTCATGACATATTGGAGGGCAGGGGACAGGGAATGCCCAGAGTATTTTCTCCCCTTCTGATACGGTTTTGATGTGTCCCCACCCAAATCTCATCTTGAATTATAGTTCCCATAATTCCCACCTGTCATGGGAGGGACCTGGTGGGAAGTAATTGAATCATGGGGGCAGGTCTTTCCCATGCTGTTCTCATGGTAGTGAATAAGTCTCATGAGATCTGATGGTTTTATAAAGGGCAGTTCCCCTGCACCAGCTCTCCTTGCCTGCCACCATGTAAGATGTGCCTTTGCTTGTCCTTGCCTTCTGCCATGATTGTGAGGCCTCCCCAGACATGTGGAACTGTGAGTCCATTAAAGCTCTGTCCTTTATAAATTACCCAGTCTTGGGTATGTCTTTATTAACAGCATGAGAACAGACTAATACACCTTACTTTTGTCCCAGGACACTGCATCTTCTTTTTGTATTCAGCAGTCTCCACAAGGCCCATTGTGGTTCCACTTCCCACCAGGAGACCCCAATTCTGGGCTTCAGTCACATCTCCTTTTCCTTCTGTCCCCCAGTCTTGGGGTGGCAGGAACTCCCGCTTTGGTTAACCTCTGAGTCGCTCACCATCCCCTTGGCCTCTCAGATTTTCCATCCCTTGGGTAATCCCTTCCCTGCATTAAAGTCCCACAGTTTCACATACCCACAGTGGTTTCTGTTTCCTTGATAGGACCCGAACTGATATCGAGAGCTGACTCTGTTTCAGGGACTGTGGAAATACAGAGAATACAGCAAAGAATAAGCCTGACCCAGATCTGCTCCCATGAAAACTTACACTCTGATGGAGCAGACAGGCTTACAACAGTGATTGCTCCATAAAGGGGCATCACAGAGCCCTGTATACCTGGGACCTCTAACACGGTCTTGGGGATCAGGAAGGACTCCTTGAGTAAGTAGCATTTTTAAGCTGAGATCTGACGTGCCTAACAAGAGTTAGGCATGAGAGAAGTTTTTAGAATTCCCTGACCAGGAGGTAGTGGCCAGCCCGGCTAAACTTTTTGGAGCCCCTTTGCTGACTGACATCAGGGGTGTAGCCAGCAGTGCTGGGTCTGGCTGTTCCCTGCTCCCCTGTGACCTGGCACCTCCACTCATTTTGCTTCCAGTGATCAATCAATTGATTGCCAGTTGCACTCAATCTGGTGATTTGGATCCAGCAGCAGATGTTTCTGAGCACCAGTTGGTTCTGCAGTGAATATGGCTGTGATCCCAGGGAAAGCACAGCATAACCATGTTGGGTTCTTGGCTCCTTCGAGAAAATGGCCAGAGAACATGGAGATTCTGACCAGAATATCCATGCATCCACCTTCGATTTCCTCACACATGTTCTGAGCACCTGCTTGGAGCCCAGCATTCTACTAAGCATTGTGGTGGGAAATGGCCACACAATCAACTAAAAGAGTCTCCCTTTTCATGAGGAACCCATGGTCTAACGGGGGAGAAAGCAACCACAGAGAAAACAATTGCAGTGTATTTCAAAGAGTACATAGGGAATGAAGAGGAGAGAGTGAATGACTACCAGGGTCATCAGAAAGAACAGCGTATTGAGGAATGAGTAGTAGTTTGCCAAGTGAAGGAAAATGAAGTATCCAGGCAATGGAATAGTATATGCAAAGATAGAGACCTGAGTATAAAAAAAATTCATTATGGTGGTGTGTGCCTGTAATCCCAGCTACTCAGGAGGCAGAGGCAGGTGAATCGCTTGAACCTGGGAGGCTGAGGTTGCAGTGAGCCGAGATCGCGCCATTGCACTCCAGCCTGGGCAACAAGAGCAAAACTCCATCTCAACAAAACAAACAAACAAACAAAATGTATTGGACGTGTTATATACAAAGACTTGTGAGCTGAATTGTAGGGTGCTCAAAGTATAAGGCACATAGCTAGGAATATATGAGGAAAATGTGGAAGGGTAGAATAGGGCCAGATCATGAATGGCTTTGAATGACAGGCTGAAGAGTTTGAACTTAAATATTTTAGGAGATTAGAATGGGGAAGTGCTACGGCCTCACCTGTATTTTAGAAAGACCAATCAAACTGTTTTGTACAGGAAGGATTAATTTGTTTATTCGACAAGTCTTTATTGAGTTCTTACTATGTGTCAGGCATTCTACAAGGTGCTGGGAATAGCAGTGAACAAGACAAATAAGCACCCCACCCTTCTTGAGCCTTCAGTTTAGTGTGGGAAATAGATAACAAACAAGAAAGTGAATACATACACACACGCACGCACGTGCGCGCGCGCGCGCACATACACACACACAGTGGTGCTAAGCGCTATGAAGGAAAATAAACAGAGCAATGTGATAGTAACAGCTGGGTACTACTTAGATATTCCAGAGCTGGCCTTGGATAATCTGGGGGTCTGGGGGTGTTCCATGAGGAAGTTGTTCCTTTGAGATAAAGTTATTGTCCATGGAAGGAGATAAGATTGAATCTGAATGGAGGACAGATGAGAATTAATGTAGACGAATGTGAGTTACGCAGAAAGAAGGGGAGATTTGGGAGACCTAGAGAAGGTGACATACTCAGGATGGGACACATTGAGTTTAAGCTGTCTATGACAGGGACACATCATGTCTTTACCTAAAGTTGGGTCATTTTTCTCCTGGCCACACAAGTAGACTTCATTTCCCAGTCTCTCTTGCAGTTAGGTAAGAGCATGTGACTGAATTCTGTTCAGTGAAATATGGGTAAAAGTAGCATATACGCCTTCTAGGCCTGGCCTCTAAAACTCCCACATAATCTTCCAGGACTTCTCCTTGCTTACCTGCTAGCCAGATGCAGAAGATCCAGTAGAGGATTCTGATATCCTAGAGCGGATTGTTTCAACTGATAATGTGGGCCAGATGCTTCTTTGTTATGGGAGACTGTTTTGTGTATTATAGGGTATTTAGCAGCATACCTAAACTCTACTAACTAAATGTCAAGTTGCCTCCGCCTCCAGATAGCCAAAAGTATCTCTAGACATTGCCAAATGTTTCTGTGTGAGAATCACTGCCCTGGAAGATGGCAAAGCCATAATACAGAAACTGCCTGGGTCCCTGAATGACTATGTGGAGCGGAGCTAGCCCTGCTGATTTGCACTGGACTGTGACAGGAATGAGAAATACATCTTTATTGTTATAAGCCCAGGAGATCTGGATATTGTTTGTTATAGCAGCTTAACCTACCCTAACACATCATTCACATCTGGAGCTCATTTAGGTCTGGGCTGTAGTTCCAGACTTTGGAATTATCCATCAAAGCTGAGAGAGAGCATGGAGTGACCAAGAGTGAGATGAGAAAGGCTTGAGACCTGAATGCTCAGAAATAGAACATTTAAGACAAAGGAGGAGGAGGAATCCTCAAATAAGGCCGATGATAGGAGGTAAGAGGTCAACCAGCAGAGCATGGTGCCATAGATGCTGATGGAGGAAAAATTGGAAACTCAGCAGGGAATATGGGTAACAGGAACTTATTTGAATTGCTAGCTCTCAAGTGAATGATAACTCAAACCTAGAGACTTACGAATCTGGGAAATAAATAACAACCAGCATGGAACAAAGGCACAGAAGGTCAGGCAGCTGTTTTCCATCCTGGCACATGCCTTGGCTCTGTAGGCAAATCACCCTTCTCTCTAACTGTTTAGAGAGGTTTGTTATGTTTTCCCATTAAAGATCACCATTGCAAGCCTTGCAGGATAAATGAAGCAAAAATCTATGCAAGGCTTCAATCTGGCTTTCACTCCCTTACAGCCCAACCCTGGCCCCCAAAGAAAGGTGTTATGTAAATAAAAAATACTGTGATTACAATGTGCTGGACAAGTGTTTGATAAGGATCAGAGGAAGGCTGGGGCCCCTAATGACCACTAGTGGTGAGGGAGGTATGATTCCATCCTTGTGTTTCAAGAAAAGTTTGTAAAGGAAGCCATGTGGCAGAGACTCACTGGGATGGTTTAAAAAATGAAGGAAATTCCCCATTTCCTGGTTGTAAGAAAATATGGGTGGAACAAGTCTTAAATGAGCTGATCATGGCTCTGACTTTGATGTTGGATGAATGACAATGATCTCCAAGGCAGGAACACAATGTAATGAACTTGCCTGGCTTTTCCATGAAAAACAAAATCACTGAAGGGGTCTTGTGTTGGAAGACAAAGGCACTCTGACTGCAGGGGGGGGAAGAGGAAAGCTTGGAGGGTGTTCTTAACCTGTAGCTAATGGGAATGAAGGCATGAGGGCTGCTAGCTTAAAGTGGTGGGGCCATGCTGGATTTTGTAGGGGCATCTGCAGTGCTACTTTTTAAATTTAGCAAATGTTTATGAAAGACCTACTGTGTGTCTTGACTTGTACCTGGGTCTGTTAAGATAGAGATCAATATGCAAATCCACAGTCTAATAGAATAGTTAGAACACTTGATTCTTTTCTCCCTTCCTCTCTCTCTTCTTTCTTCCTTTTTTTTCCCAACCATATTTATTGAGCACTACTGTGTGCTAGGCACTGTGCTGGCAATGGGGATATGATAATGGACACAGTAGATATGGTTCTGTCTTCAAGGAGGCCAAGGTCTAGCTGGGAAGACAAAGCAGTAAACAAGCCACATGAGAAAGTGTGTGTTAAGGGCTATGAAGTACAGAGAACCCTGGGTGCTCACATTGGAAGCATGAGAGTGGGGAATTGGGCAATAATAAAGTAGGCAGGAGAAGTTGGGATTAATTCCATAAGGGAGGCCAGGCTTCAGAGGCAGAGGAAATGACGTTGCTTAAGCTGGGTTTTGAAGGATGAAGAGGAGCTCTCAGGAAGACAGGATAGGGGAAGGACTTTCCACACACAGGGAACAGCAAAGCAAAGGCATGGAGGCTTCAAAGAGTAAACCGAGTTTGTGGCAACTACAAATAATACAGGATTATTGGAGCAGAAAGTTCAAGAAACAATAAGACAGGAGCCCTGAACAATAAACAGGAGTCAGATCATGGAGGGCCTTTTAGACCAAACTGTGAAGTTTATTCTAAAGGTAATAGGGAGCCATAGAAAGACTGTGAGCAGGAAAGTGACGTGATCAGGTTTGTGTTTTGTCAAAAGCCCTCTGGCCACTGAGTAGATGACAACCTGGAAAGGTGAGACTACAGAGGTGAGTCTGGAAACCGCAAACCAGATGGCATGTGAGGTCAACCTTGGCTTCAGGACAACCTTGGTTCTGCAGTCAGAAATGTGGAGCGAGGGTCTCAGCCCTTTCTGTAAACTGTTGACTTCTTGCCTTGCTACTGGCTGGTGGCAGAGACTTGGGATAATTGTGTTTCAATTATTACCATTGCACATTAAAATATGCAACCATGAGTCAGGTGGTTAAAGCCATTGCTGGGTGGTTGACTAGAGGGTTAGGATTAGATTGGGGTTAAGAATTAGATCCATTACTCAATGTCTCCAATGCGCGATATGGCTTTGGGTGCACATGTGGGTGTGAGGCTACATATTTCTCCCTAGAGGTACGCCAAGAAGACACTGATCTCAAAGGTGAAAGCTAGCCTTCAGGGGTTTCCCAAACTGCCCCTTCAAAAGGAGATGGAAGCAGAGCTTATTGGTTAGGAGCATCCATTTGATGTTAAATAGATCCAACCTTTATCTTTTAGTAGTTGTGCAAATTACAGGACCCGTATCCTCTTTCTGAGCCTCAGTTTTCTTCATCCGTAAAATAAGCACAAATGTGGTGTGCAGTAAGTGCTCATTCAGTGTCTCCTGACATTTTTAGGTATTTGCAGGCTTAAAAATCAAGATGTCATTTTGGCCTTTCTTTGAATTTGTTTTTACTACAGTGTTTTCTTATGTCACCTCCACTTTTTTTCTTATCAAGCCTCATTCTCAAGCAAGTTATCAATGATGCCTAGGTATATTCCTGTTAACAGAGTAAAGTTTGAGGTGGGTTGGAGCCTTTTCTCCAAAGAAACAAAACCAATAGTGTGTGTGTGTGTGTGTGTGTGTGTGTACATTTATCTTAAGATTTTAACAAGGAACTGGCTCACATAATCATGGGGGCTGGCAAGTCCATAATCTGGAGGGCAGGCTGGAAGGTTAGAAACTCGAGTAGAAGTTAAGCTTGTAGAAGAATTTGGTAGAAAGGAATTTGGAATTTTAAAAAGGAACTAGGAGCCTTGAACCAGCACCATAACCCCATCAAACAGAAACATGTCCTTATGTGCACTAAGAGTTGTACTCAGAATGTTCTCAGCAGCAAACAACTTGAAACAGTTTAAATACCCACACAGCATAATGGATACATGAATTACTATGTATTTTCACAGTAGAATACTGTCTGGTGGTGAAATATGAAATGCTGCTACATGCAAACACATGGATAAATCCCACAGACACAGTATGGAGAAAAAAACGCAGACACAGAGGAGTACAGCTCTATGATTCTGTATATTTAAAGTTATAATGGTAAAAACTAGATTATAGGGAAGTAGTCAGTATATTCACCTCTCTTGGTAATTGCACCCTGATTTTCCCTCAGGATACCATTCATTCCCTCACTTCTAGTCTTTGACTTCCAAAGGGAAGGGACCTACTTCTTGTCCCAGTTTGGTCAATCAGCAAATTTCATCTCCTGGACCTCAGGAATAGATGCAGGGTCATGAGACTCAAGGCAGTCCAATGGCAACCAACAATGCTAGAATTCTGGCTGGAAATAATAGGAAAGAAGAACTCTTTTTTTTTTTTTCCCACTGGGATTGCAGAGCTGGTAGAATATCTGTTGGGAACTGCTGGTGGACATCTTGCCACCATGAGATGCACCTACTTAAGAATTAAGCCAATACAAGCAGGCCTGAGAGATGGCTTCAGCTAGTCTGAGTTGATTTCCCTACTCAGGGACAAGGACATGTCTGTCTGTTCTAAACCACATCAACACCTGGGTGTGTGACAGCAAAGGAGTGAGGATGCTGGGATCAAGGAGTGATGAGGATTCACTCTACATTTCCTGCCATTGCCATTTTTCCTGGCTGGTAAGGACTCCAGTAAAAAAGACCTGAACTCACCAGGTGCCACAGGACATTAGGAAGTGCATCTCCTTCTCCTACCCACTTTGTCTCCCAGATCTCAGTTTTTCCTTCCATAAAATGGGTATGCTTGGGCAGTGCAGCCATTCTGGTTGGGCAGCATGTTAATTTCTGTTCGTTACTTCCCTATGTCTGCTCCTGGCCTTACTGAAAACTTCAATGTCTTAATAGTAAAATAATCGGTAACGTGTTGGGCACTCGATATGCACAAAGCACATGCTAAGTGCTTTATCAGGGTTGTTACCCCCTTGAACCCTCAGGGCACTCACCCCGCAAGGAAGACGCTGTCCCTATCTCCCCTTTGCATATGGGGGCAGTAGCCAGGGAAGAAGGACACGTGGGCCAAGTTTCGTGGACTGCCACACACAGGTGAGCCAGGACTAGATTTTTCATGAGATCTTGCTTCCAATTCGGTATAGCCTTCCAGTTTCCAAGCGGCTTTTATCTCCTCATTAATTCTCACCTGATTTCTGGAACTGATTTCTTATTCCCATTTGCTAGATATAAATATGAAGTTTCAGCAAGGGGCAGGGAACTTGCCCAAAGCCACACAGAGCTGCTGCTGCTGCTATTTATGATAATAATGATTGACATCCTATAAGAAGCCCTCAGTTAGGTCCCAGTTACATGCAGCTTAGGAGAGGGAGGTATGATTATTATCTCCACTTTACAGCTGAAGGTACTGAAGTTTAGAGAATGACGTCACTAAACCCAAGTTACTTGGCTGATTTTGATGGAGTTAGAATTGGAACCCAGGCAGCTGGGTGTCCCAGCCCACTCTCTTAAACACGGTCATATGTTCTCTTTCCAGAAACAGATCTGAAGCCAATCCCTGAGCCTCCTGGGCCATACACTGTCCCACTATTTCAAAAGAAACTCAGTGACGAGAGGGCAGAGGGAGAATATGTCCAGCATCTCAGCCTCATTGTTTTCCACTTGGCAGCCCCCTCCAGTTCAGGTAAATAGAAGAGATTCCGTCATTGTTTGTCCCTGGTCCTAATGACTTTCGTCTTTGTGTCTTCGGAGCCAGACCTCACCCCTGGGAAGCTGGCCTGGGGCCTGAGAGGCACCAGCCGCCTCTGTGAACAATGGTCTTTGTTCTTCACACTTTCCCTATCAAAGCCTCACAGCAGGGATGGCCTTCAGAGGCGATGGGCGATGTGATAATTCCTGTGCCAGGGCTGAGGAGGGGGGCAGGAAAGGAGGGGTCAGGTCCAACTTTGACCCAGTTAGTTACTCTGGGGTCTGCGGTCCTGCCCTGGTAAGAATAAACTCTTAGCAGAGGCTATGAATAGCTTGGGCTTATTAACTCATCTTGTCTTCTGTGAATTGTTCTCCTGTTATCTTCTGGGAGTAGCAAGTCTGGAAATGATGTTGGTGGACAGGGAATATTAATAACAATAATAATAATTGATGATGATGATGACGATGATGATGCCTGGCTATATTTATTGTGCTCTTACCATGTTCTGGGCATTCTGCTAAGAATGATATATACATTTACATTTACATTTACAATGCATTACGTTTACATTACATTTACATTTAAACCTAACTGCAACCTTGGAAGGCGAAAACTGTTACGTCAGTTACTTTGCATTCTCATTGTAATTCTCCATATTTTTCAGATGAAGAAAATAAGGCTCAGCCGGGAGCAGATAAGGTGCCCCAGGTCACAGAACTGGGCCTTGAACCCAGGTCTGTATGGCTTCAAAAGCCAGTCCTCTTAACCACTGGGTTCAGATGGCTCTTTGTAACAATGAGCAGCATGAGAAATGGACAGAGGAGGTGAACTGGGGGCAGGCACACTAGAGTGCTCCCAGTAAGTTGAGTCATGTGACCTTGGGCTGGTGCCTGTAATCGCTAAGCCTCTTTGTCCTCATCTGTAAAATAGGATAGGTCATCTTAATGCTTGCAATCTCATCCATCTGCCTGCAGGAGATAGAATCTGCCCTAGATGGTTCAAACTATGAGAGTTTAATTAAGGGACTACTTACAGCGGGGTGGACAGGGTTAATCACATGAACATGAGGTGCTGAGGCATCAGGAGTCTAGCAACAGTGGAGAGCTGTTCACATCCATAAGCTGAAGTAGGAAGAAAAGAAGAAGGGTTTCAGGAGCCCAGGCAGGGCCGGGGTCATGGTGGATGAGTCACCTGGCACAGGTCAGGGACGGACACACCCCTCCAGAAATGTGGTTCTGAATTAGGGAGGAAACAAGGAAGAAACACCTGGCTTTTCTCCTTCTTCCCTTTGATCTCCTGCCAGTGCTTCCTATTAGATGACCCCAGCTAGAAGCAGATCACAGAGGTGCTAGGAGGTGTCATCCACAGGGGTCAGCTTCAGGGGCACGGGACAGAGAAGGGTAGAGAATAGGGGGAGCTGGCAAATGGAGACTAACTGCAGGCCCATCTTCTAGGGGTCCTTGTGCAAAGGGAATAGGGCTTTTTTATGGAAAGCATCTGGTCTGCAAGAGGCACACAATAAATGAGTTCTGTGACTGGAAAGGGGTCCTGATCCAGACCCCAAGAGAGGGTTCTTGGATCTCGTGCAACAAAGAATTTGAGGCAAGTCCATAGAGTAAAGAAAGTGAAAGCAAGTGTATTGAGAAAGTAAAGGAATAAAAGAATGGCTACTCCATAGACAGAGCAGCCCCAAGGGCTGCTGGCTATCCATTTTTATGGTTATTTCTTGATGATATGCTAAACAAGGAGTGGATTATTCATGCATCCCCTTTTTAGGCCATACAGGGTAACTTCCTGATGTTGCCATGGCATTCGTAAACTGTCATGGCGCTGATGGGAGTGTAGCGGTGGGGACGACCAGAGGTCACTCTCGTCACCATCTTGGTTTTGATGGGTTTTGGCCAGCTCCTTTAATGCAACCTGTTTTATCAGCAAGGTCTTTATGACCTGTATCTTGTGCTGACCTCTCATCTCATTCTGTGACTTAGAATGTCTAACCTTCTGGGAATGCAGCATAGTAAGGTCTTAGCCTTATTTTACCCAGCCCCTATTGAAGATGGAGTTGCTGTTGTTTAAACGCCTCTGGCAGCTCTATTTTGCAAAGTGTGTACTCAGTGCCAGACACAGGGCGAAGCCCTGGAAATCCTTGTTGGTATACAGTGGTGTCATCTTTTCACAAGAGGCAAAACGGCATCCCCACAGAGGTGGCAGATGCTGGAGCCAGAGAGCCTGAATCCAGGCCCTGCTCTTCTGCTGCCCAGTTTTATGACCCCAGGAAATTCATTTATTCTTGTGCCTCAGTTTCTTCATCTGCAACAACAGTACTACCTACACTTCACAGGGATTGGGAGAGGATCGAATGAGTTAAAACATGTGATGCTCTTACCCAGTGCCTGGCCCCTTGTCAGTCCTCAGTAAATGCTGGCTATGATATTTCAAGATGCTTACATTCAAGAAGGGCTGTCAGACAAATCAACTAAGTGCAAAGTCTGATGTGTTTTCGCAGCGTAAGGAGTAGGTATTGATTGGGGAGCACAGACAGGAAGCCTGTTTCGATCAAGTAAGACCTCTCTGAGGAGGTGATGTTTAAGCTGAGACCTGCTGGATGAGTGAGAAGCTTCCAGGCCCAGAGAAGAGTGGTCTGGGCAGCAGAAAGAGCAGGTGCAAAGGCCCCGAGGCAGAAACAATTTGGGATGTTCAAGGAATAGCAAGAATGCCATCAAGGGGAGGAGAAGAGTATTTGGGGTTAGAGAAGTGTCATGGGCCTTGTAGGCCAGTGCAAGGAATTTAGATTTTCTTCTGGCAAAAAAAGAAACTCCTGGAAGGGTGTTACAGTGAGAAGCGACACCACCCAATGTGCTCATCTGGGTCCTCCAAGATGCAGGTGCCAAGACGAGATTAAATGTGGAAAGCTTTTTTTAGGAGAAGTGCCTGTTGGAGAGAAAATGGAGAGAGAGCTGGGAAAGGCAGGAGAGCTAGCTGGAGGACTGGTATACAGGTCTGATTCCTAGTGAAGGAGATACAGAGAAGCTTGGGTGGAAGCATCCCAAGCTGCCAAGCTGTCCAAGAAAGATTCATCAAAGCCATGGGGAGCCCTTGAACTATGAAAGGAATTCTGCGTCTCCCAGGAACGGGCCTGCCTTAGTATGCTGCCGTTTTCAGACATTGGCTGGGGATGGCCCACAGAACACACGGCCTCCTGTTCATGCAGGGAGCTCCAGAGCGCAGCAGCTGGGCCCTTGGGCCATTGGGCTCCCTGTTCGTGTTGTTCCACGAGGTGCATTTTGCCCATTTGACTAGCATTTTCAGAGGTGCACTTGGGCCATTCTAAGAAGACAGGCTGAGAGGGTGGACAAGAAGTACGCTGATGACTGTTAAAAGCTCTAGTGCCAAAGGCCTATGCAGGGGGCTGTATGGGCAACCCCAGATGGGGCTCAGTGTGGAGGCCAGACAGAGGTGTGTGCCTCCCAGTGAGCTGGGCCCTGCCTGGCTCCATCCCTGCCTGTCCAGCCTGCGGACACCCCCACAAATCCCCTGTCTCCCCAGAGGAAGTCAGGCCTGTAGCCTGGCTTCCTGCTATTATGCCGTTTTTACAGCCTGGACTTGATTTAGGTGTTACGCTCTTGCTAAGAATATGCGCTGACACTTGAAAGGAACTTTATTATTGTCCTAATTTGTGAAGAATTAGTCGTTGCTTTTTTTTTTTTTTTTCCCTGCTCCCCTTTCTTCTCTGCAGGGTCAGGCTGGAGCCGAGTTATTGTTGTTAAATTTAGATCTGAAACTATATTGGGCCTGGGCTGGTGTCTCTATGCTTTCACTTCTTAAAACAGGAAGGAAGGCCCCAGCTAGGGGGTTTCATAGAGCCGAGAAGCTGCTCTGAAGGCCTTGGGAAATGTGTTTTGGTGGAAACCACTAGATATGCTTAGAAAGGACCAGATTCAGAGAGCGTCTTGGTGTGGTTAAATTGAAAGATTTTTCCCTGGCCTTCTGATATGCCTGTGAGCCAGGTCTGCAACTATGGTAGGTTACAGCATGGGCAGTGAAAGCCACCTGACTTTGGACGGGGAACTCCTGCTCAGCTGCCCCATTGCCTCAGTTTCCCCATCTGTAAAATGAAGATCATGATATTACCAGAGGCTGGTGGTGGATTAACTGAGGTAGCATTAGTAAAGTGTGTAGCGGAGTGCCTGAAGCATGCGTAGGTAACGTGTGAGCTCTGGGTTTCCTGGCTGGTGGAGCTCAAACTTAGAACAAATCAAGGAAGGTCTCAGAGATAAAAAGAATTCTATGGTAAAGCATTAATTGATCAACGGAATGAACTTACTAGTTACTTGAGAATTAATACCAGCAAGAGTTATTAAGAAATAGCAAAAATCATTTTGTGATACTAGCTAATGTTGACTGAGTGATTTCTACATGTCTGGAACCAGCTAAGTCCTTGATACATGAGACAGCGCAGAGCATAGTGACGAGTGGGGCTCTCAGATTACTCGGTTCACAATCCCAGCTCTGCCACTTAGCAGCTGTATGGTCTTAGGTAAGTTACTTTACCTCTCTGAGCCTCCGTTTATTTTATTTATTTTATATTTTGAGATGAGATCTCACTCCGCTACCCAGGCTGGAGGGCAATGGCACAAACATAGCTCACTGTGGCCTGGGCAACAGAGCAAAATCCCATCTCAAAATAAAATCCAATATCTTGACTGGAACCTTCTGAGAAACCCTCAGCCAGAGCCACCCAGTTAAGCCACTCCAGAATTCTTGATTCACAGAAATGATAAGATTTTTTTTCTTTTTTAAGCAGCTAACTTTTGGACTAACTTGTTACACGACCATAGCTAACTATATGACCTTATGTAATTTGCTTGACCTCTCTAAGCTTCAGTATGATCATTTGTAAGATGGGAATAATAGTCTTTCTCTTAGGGGATTGTGGTGTTTAAATAAAATAATTTTGTAAATAATAGCAAATGTATAAGCAGTTTTTTCTAAATACCAGACACTTTACATAAATTAATTCCTTAAAGCATTGACAAATTACCAGAACTTTAAAGTGTTGGTAAATGGTTGGCCCACATCTGAAGTCTGGACTAGGGTGAAGGATCTGCCTTGGCTGTTTGGTAAGAGGCCTCAGTTTGTTGCCATGTGAGGTTCTCCTCAGAGCTGCCTGACATCCTCACAATATGGCAGCTGGCTTCCTCCAGAGCAAGTGATTCAAGAGAGAAGGAAGAAGCCATACTCTCTTTTATGACCTAACCTCAGAGGTGACATACTATCACTTCTGCCATATTCTGTGGGTCACACTGCCCAATCCTGATACAACAAGGGAGGGACTTGAACAAAGTTGGGAATGCCAAGGGGTGGGAAATATTGAAGGCCATCTTGGAGGCTGCCACCCTAGTCACCCTGTGGGTAAATGATGGAGATAGGAATTGAGTTTAGATTCTGCATTCTGCCTTGATTGATGTGTCCTGCATCTACCACACACCAGGGACCCAGAGCCTTTAAGGTGCTCCCAGGCCAGGAGAAAACTGATGAACAATGGAGCAATTGCCTCAGGGGCAATTGAGTTTAGAATGTGGACTGTGAGAGCTCAGCAGAGGGGGTCCTTGTGCAGACTGGGGGATGAGGAGAGTTATGCTGGCTGAGAGGCTCGAGAAGAGCAGTTGGGGAACAGGAAACAGCGTATGCAAAGGCCCAGGGGTGAGATAATGGGGTTTACTGCAACTGAAGCATGGAGTTCCTCTTGGGGAACTGTGAGAGATGAGGATTGAGAGACATCCCAAGGGTCACTTTCCATAAGGACATTGTAGGCTATATTACAGAGACTGGGCTTCATCCTCAGGGTAGTGATAGCCATTGAAGGTGTTTGATAAAAAAAGAAAAATATTCAAGTTTATATCAGCCACAGGAGCACAGGACCTGAGATTAGAAATAAGACATCAAGTCTCCATTGGCCTTTGGTTAGACCATCTTCGCTAAATCCCTGCCCCACTCCTAGCTCCAAGGTACTCAGATCTGTAAAAGGGGGACAATCATTATACCGACCTCATGGGCTTGTGGGGCCATGGAAGTGAGAGGCATGAGGATGAATAGGAAAATGTAAAGGGCTCGACAGATGGGAGTTCTCCTCTGAAATCATTGTAGAGGTGTTGGTGAGGCAAAGGATAGGCCAAGAGACTGAGAGATCAAGAGTGGGAAAATGGGAGACACATTGGCTTTGTCTCCAAGGCCCCCTCTGCAGCCAGACTTTTCTCAAGATACCATTCCTACTTGCCCATCAGTGGGGTACGGGCAGGAGAGGAAGAGCCAGGACAGGTCTGAGAGCAAGTCCCTGACCCTTGAGCTACATATACTTGAAGAAAAGACCTCATAGAAGTGGAAAACCCGGCACTGCCAGAATCCTGGCTTCTCTCTTTGCAAGCTACATGATCTGGAGCCACCAATTAAACCCACTGACCTGGGGCCACCAGTTAAACTCACTAAGCATCCATTGGATCATCTGTAAAATGGGGATGCCCATGTCAGCACCATACGGACAGGAATCTTTTCTGCCTTGTTCAGCATTACATTCCTAGTACTACAGCAAATATTGGCACACAGTAGTTGCTCATTAAATGTATGTTAAATGAGGAAAGGAATTTTCACTGCATGATTATCTAGAAATCTAGCTTCTATGGCTATGGCTCTATGGTGAGATCTAGCATGTCTATCCCTCCTTATCATTGTTTATGCTGTTCTCTTGTCCTAGAATACTCTTCCCCGTTTCTCCATTCATGCAAGTAAGCCAAGCCTTCAACCCGACTATGTTGAAATGGCCTCTGCTTCTGAGTTCCCTATGAATATGTAAGGAAAAACCCCTGGACCCACCACCTACTAGATCTGTGACCTCAGGCAGGATCTATGACTTCTTTGTGACTCAATTTCCTTATCTGCTAAAATGGGGATAATGTTTCTACTTATAACCCATAAGGTTGTTTGAAGGTTAAAAAAGATAGTGCCCAGCACATAGTAAGTACTCAAATGTAGTAGCTCCAAGTTTTATTAATTTCCCCCTCCAGGAGAATCCAGAATCCTTGGTGCTTCTGTAACTCACCCTGCTTCCCACCATCCTTACTATCATTTCTGCAGGGCTTCGTTTTCTGTCATTTCTCCAACAAACCAAACACACTCCTGCCCACGCAATTCCCTTTGCCAGAAACACTGTTCCGTCAGATATCCACATGACTGACTTTCTCACTTCCTTTAAGTCTCTACTCAAATGAACACTACGGTGATAACAGGCCTTCTGGACTGTCCACTTAAAATTGCATTGCTCTCCCTATTAAAATAGATTCCATTCTCCAGTCTTAGTTTTCTGTGTGGCATTCATTTCCACTTGAACACATCTCATCTACCATATTCATTTATTCACCGTATTTCTTTTGTTTTCCACCATTCGAATGTGAGCTTCTGAGGGCACAGATTTTGACTTTTATATACATGCTGTATCCCCAGTGGTTGTTGAATGAATTAATAAAAGAGTGAAGGATTGAATAATCTATATAAGAAAGGGGAGGTTTGGGAAGGAGGGCATTAGGACAAATACGTAATGTATGCAGGGCTTAAAACCTAGATGACAGGTTGATAGCTGCAGGAAACCACCGTGACACCTGTATACCTATGTAACAAACCTGCACGTTCAGTACATGTATCCCAGAACTTAAAATTTAAAAAAATTAAGGAAAGAAAAGAGATGTTTGTTTCTTCCACTGTCTTTGCCATATATAGGTCCTTGAAAGTTAGAGCTACTGGTCTTCCTTCAGATGAGAGGAAGATAAAGCGCTCAGAGAGGTAGAAGACTCCTCCAGAGACCACAAAGCCAGTAACAGCAAATACTTAAATATCATTCACTACATACTGAGGACTGTTCTAGACTACTTATTTTGTAAGAGATGTGTATTATTTACCCAGGGATGCTATAAAAGAATGCTAGAAACTAGTTGGCTTAAGCAACAGAAGTGTATTGTCTCATACTTTTGGAGGCTTGAAGTCCAAGTTCAAGATGTTGGCAAGGCCATGCTCCCTCTGAACACAGCAGGAATAATTTGCTCCAGGCCTCTCTTCTAGCTTCTGGTAGTCCTTTGACTTGTGTCAGCGTAACTTCAGTCTTCACATGGTGTTCTTCCAATTTGCAGGCCTATGTCCAAATTTCCCCTGTTAATATTGAATTAGGGGCCCATTTTACTCCAACAGGACCTCGTTTTAACTAATTAAATCTCAATGATCCGATTTCCAAATAAAGTCACATTCTGAAGTACTAGGAGTTAAAACTTCCACATATAAAATTTGGGAGGACACAATTCAATCCAATAACAAGAAGGAAACTGAGGACCATTATAATCGTTTGCCCAAAGTGAACCCAGCTAGTAGGTGGTGGAGTCACTGTTTGAAGCCTGGACACTCTGACCTGGAACCATGACGCTGAATGCAACCGTGAACTTGAGCACCCAGAACCAGGTCTGAGTGCTGTGTTTTTGCATTGAGTTGGCCTAGAGGGAAGAATGGTCACGGAGGTTAAAAGAGGAGATGATTATCCAGGCAGGTGGTTAATACCCAGAAGCTGGGCTATCTGTCAACATACAAATGAGGAAAGCACTTCCCAGTGGAGGCAGCAGCAAGAGGGTGCAGAGGTGATGGAGATTGGCAGGTGGCACTTCCTCTCCCCCCAACTCCATTACCTTCCCCCCTTCCCTGCCCCCACCCTCCAGCCTGCCACCTGGATAGACAGCAGGAGACAGCTGTCTGATGAGGGAGAATGGAGCTGAAAGAGGCTGCTGAGAAGGGCAGAACATGGTTCTTTTGAGGACTTTATAGATTTTCCTGCACAGAAAGACCTTCCCACTCCTTTGAAGGATGGCGGTGAGGCTCAAGCAGAGATAGCAATATCTCTCATTCATTTTTCATAATTCAGAAGCCTGTCAATCACTGGAGGGGACCAAGGTGGGAAGGGCTGGTGAGGGCTGGGGGCGATGCAGATGGGATTATGGAAGCAGAGAGGAAAGGCCCTCTGCTGTACTGACTCCTTGGCCACCCAGCTGAAGTGACAAGACACTTGGAGCATGTGCCACTGCCACCATCCCAAACCATCCTGGCTAAGGGCAGCATGAAGGCAGGCTACGTGTCTAATATATACTTTTTTAGATGTGGTTGGTGTAGCATAACCATCTAGAGGTTAGTGGGATTTACTTTAGTCAAGACACTGCCCCCAGATTATCACATTTAATCCTCACAAACCCCAAAAGATAGATATTTTATTTCCTTTTTACAGATGAGAAACTGAGGCCTAGAGAGATGAAGCAGAGCCAGGATTTAAACTCAGGTGGGCGGGCCTCAAAGTTCATGCGATTCACCACTGTAGACATCCACTTTCTGAAGGCTGAAAACTTCCAGCTTGCTCCAGCAATCTCCTTGCCATTATCTAAACAGTTTTTCATTAATTAGGAGCTTGAAGTTATCTAATGGAAAAGAGTTATCTAATGGGAAATTTCATTTGTGCTTCTGATATGCCCATTTTCTCCATCTGCAGCCATCATCTTACACAAAGTCTCCATCTCTTTTGGTCTTGATGGACAACCTTAGTGGCCTTAATGAGCCTCTCAGCTCTTGCCTCCTGTTAGTCCATTCTGCGTGGAGCAACCCGAGTGATCTTTGAACAATCACAGATCTAGGCAGTTTCTCAATAACTTAAAAGTGGAATTACCACATGGTGCAATAATCCCACCTACATATATGCCCCAAAGAATTGAAAGCAGGGATTTAAAGAGATATTTGCACACCCATGTTCATAGAAGCATTAGTTGCAGTCTCCAAAAGGTGCAATCGGCCAGGCGTGGTGGCTCACGGCTGTAATCCCAGCACTGTGGGAGGCCGAGGTGGGTGGATCATGAGGTGAGGAGATCAAGAGCCAACGTGGCGAAACCCATGTAGTATTTTGTACTAAAATACAAAAAAAAAAAAAATTAGCCGGGAGTGGTGGCACACGCCTGTAGTCCCAGCTACTCGGGAGGCTGAGGCAGGGGAATCACTTGAACCCGGGAGGCGGAGGTTGCAGTGAGCCGAGATTGTGCCACTGCATTCCAGCCTGGCGACAGAGTGAGACTGTCTAAAAAAAAAAAAGGTGCAATCGACCCAAGTATCCATCTATGGATGAACAAAATGTGGTCTATACACACCGTGGAATATTATTCAGTCTTAAAAGGAAGGAAATTCTGACACATGCTACAACATGGTGAGACTTGAGAACATTATGCTAAGTGAAATAAGCCAGTCACCAAAAGGCAAATACTGTATGATTCCATTTATCTGACGTACTTGGAGTAAATTCACAGACACAGAAAGCAGAATGGTGGTTGCCAAAGGCTGGCAAATGGGGGCAAGGGGAATTCTCATTTAATGAGTATAGAGTTTTAGTTTCTGCAAGACGAAGAGTGCTAGAGATGGATGGTGGTGATGGTTGCACAACAATGCAAGAGGTCATGAGGAACAAGGAGGCCTTGGAAGGAAGGAACAGGTTTTGGGTCATTGCAGGAGGTGGCTCTTCTGCACAACTCTAGAAGAGAACTTTATGTCAATGGAACAGGCATTGTTTTTAATCATTTAGAAATGTTTTTATGAGAAGGGGTCTATAGGTGTCACCAGGCCCCCAAAGGAGTCCCTGGTCCTTCTCTTTCTCTTTCTCTCTCTCCTTACCTCCCTCCTTTTCTCTCATTCCTCTTCTCTCCTCCTTCCCTTTCATCTCTCTCTTGCTCTCTCTGAATTATTGTGTTATTCTTGTGCAGCTGACATTGCTTTCTTTACCTGTGAGAGCATACCTGGACAGTTGTGGGTTCCCTCTGTGTGTGTATATGTGCTTGGATGGCTCTGTATATATCTCCATGCATATGTAGTATCACATATATTTGTAAACCTGGTAGCTGGCATGTTCTTTTTGGGGCCCTGGGAGTTTGTGTCTATGTGCATGAAGGGTTTCCTCTATGTATGTGTGTGTTTCCCCTATGTATGTGTGTGTGTGTTTACTTAGATGCTTGTGTGTCTACTACACCTGGGTGGCTCCAAGCTTTTGAGTGTGTACACTAGGATATTTATCCATATCTGTGTGTCTCTGCATGTCCTCTTGATGTTTGCTTTTCTCTGTGGGTTTATGCCTAGATATCTGTGTGCTCCTGACTGCCTCTAAGGGTGTGACCCCTTGTGCGATACTCCTGGAGGTCTGTGTATTTCTCTATCTCTTCCTTTCCCAAGAAGCCAGGATTTTTCTGCCATTGCACATCCTTGAACTTGCCAAGATGATGCCAATAGGTTGAACTTTCATGATCTGCACCACAGGTTGGCAAACTTTTCCTTAAAAGGTAAGACAGTAAATATTTCAAGCTTTGTGCACCACATGGTCTTTGTGACAATTACTTTCATCTCTGCCTTTGTAAAGTCTAAGCAGTCTTAGATAATATGTAAATGAATGAGTGTAATTGTGCTCCACTAAGACTTAATCTGTGGACACTAAAATTTGAATTTCATATCACCTTTATGTGCCATAAAATAGTCCTTATTTTTATTTTTGAGATGGAGTCTTGCTCTGTCACCCAGGCTGAAGTGCAGTGGCACAATCTCGGCTCATTGCAACCTCTGCCTCCCAGGTTCAAGTGATTCTCCTGCCTCAGCCTCCTGAGTATCTGGGATTACAGGCACATGCCACCATGACTGGCTAACTTTTGTATTTTTAGTAGAGACAGGGTTTGCCATGTTGGCCAGCCTGGTCTCAAACTCCTGACCTCAGGTGATCTGCCCACCTTGGCCTCCCGAAGTGCTAGGATTACAGGTGTGAGCCACTGTGCCCAGCCAAAATATTATTCTTATTATTATTGTTATCAACTCTCTAGAAAGGTGGAAACTATTCTTAGCTCACGGGACATACAAAAACAGGCAGTAAGTGGATTTGGCCCTCAGGCCTTAGTTTGCGGATTCTAGGTCTATACACATGGAATGGGCATCCCTCCTTTATCCTCTTCCTGCCTAGTGAGAGTTGAGCGTCAAGGGCAACCGCTTAACCCTTTGTGGGCTTAGCAAACAGACCTGCAGCCTGCCCAGGAGACCTGGAGACCTGAATCTCTGCTTTGCAGTTGACTGGCTGGGGGATGAGGGCCGCTGACCTCCTGTCTCTGAGTTTCAGCTTTCTCCTCTATAATATGAGCTGGCAATGCTTACCTTGGCATAAAGTCTTTGACACTGTGCCTAGCACATTGTTAGTGCTCAGCAAATAGTGTCTACCTATCTGTGTATATTTCTCTACTCTCCTGTCTCTCCAGCTTTAAGCCCAGTCTGCAATGAATGAGCCAAGGTTGTAAGCAACATGGGTAGTTCCAAGGGTGAAGATGTGAGTTCTTTCCAGTGGATCAGGGAAGGCTACTTGAAGAGGGAGGATCCTGGCTGGGTGAAATGTGACTGTCAATGCAGAGAGCTACAAAATGAAGGTTGGCAAAACACAAGGTCTGTTACCCTTTTCCACATCCATATCAGTTTGGCTGTTCTTTGTTGTCATGTTCCTTGGTAATTTCAGCCCTGGATGACAGAAAGCTATGATCACCTATCCCCCAGAATTTATTGAAGATCCCCTTGACTGGGCTTTGAAGCTAAGATCTGTTGAGAACAGAATGGACAAACCATCTACTTTTGAGTCCCAGTTCTGCTACCTACTAGCCTAGTTACTTTTGGCAAGTGATGACATCACCTTTTCAAGTCTCAGTTTCCTCACCTGTAAAATGGTCTACTAAATGCACCTTCTGTGTAGGGCTGTTGCGAAGCCTCAAGACATGATGGGCACACATTTAGTACAATTCCTGTTGAATATGAAATGCTCGATAACTTTGGCTACATTTATGGTCATTCCCAAGTACAGTGAACCCCTCAAGAGGGGAAAAAGTCGTCAGCCAAAGTGACCTGGATTTTTGTGATTCAGCTTTTGCTGTACTTTTCAGATTCTTCGGTTACCTGGAAATATGACTCTGGCATTTCTATGAGATTCCCCAGATAAAAATCTGGGCAATAATCGTCTTTGCCCCTTTAATGAGCTATTAAGTGGCTTTGCTTAAATAATAGAGCAATTATTTTTTAGAATGCTGGCCTCTGGGGCCCTCCCCGGTCTTGGAGCTTTCACATCCCTACTTGCTTTACCAGGGTGACAAATGGAGACATCTTTCTGCTTCTTCCTCCTCCCCAGGGATGAGAGGCAGGTAAGACCATAGGTCACTGAGGGATCAGTCTTGGCAAAGATGCATGCAGGTAGCCCTCAGAAAGTTGCCCTCAGAATTTAACCTACACGTGTGCCCCACATGTAGGCCCCTGGAAAAAGGCCTGCTCCTGCAACCACTACTAAAACCCTGGCTTCTTCTTGATCGTCCTTCGCCTGACATCATGGTAACCTGGATGATGTGCTATGCCAAGGGTTTAATGACATTTTGACTTAATGTGTGTGACTTTTTAAATCTTGGAAATACCATTGCCTACCATGCGGTGGGATAAACAAAAAACCGAGGTTCAAATCTGCTCTTGCCACTTCCTAGCTCTATGACCTGAGAAAGCTCATGAAATTCTTGTAACCTCAGTTTCCTCATCTGCTCAATGGGGCCAATAATAACTTGGAGAATCCATTTTAAACAGCCTGCTCAGGAAAAATGTCCCCAAGTCTTCCTTTATTGTGTCACAATCCTGCTCAATAACCTCCCATGGCTTCTTGCTACCTTTGGAGTAAAGTCTAAGGATCTTACCCCAGAATTCAATGCTTTCCATTATGTGGTTTGGACTTACTTTTTCCTATCCCATCCCCTTCCATGAACCACCTGATCTATTTGAATTGGTTTCTTCATGGCTTCACTATACCATGCACTTTCAGCCTCTTGGTTTTCGCTCATAGATCCCTGTTACACGAAATGCGTTTTCTGTTCCTGCTTATCTATCATAACTTGTCCTATCTGTACCACTTACTAGCTGCATGACCTTGGGCAAGCCACTTTGCCACCTACATGAAACTTTTCATCTGTAAATGGGGGAACATAAAATGACATCCTCAAGGTGCTCTATCCAGGATTCAGCACAATATTACATGTTAAGAGCAAAGCAGGGTGCCTCATGCACAGTAAGCTCACAGTTAGCAGTTAGTGGTTTTGCTATAGCTAAAATCCTTCTCCCTCTCTAAGCACCTTTCCTAACAACTCAGGTTCCTTTTGATTCTTCTCTTCATACAGCTCTAAGAGAAATTGCCTCCCTGAAACTCCGTCCAGCAGCCAGGCACCATGGATATTTTCCTGGCCTTCCAAGCACACCAGACCCCCTCTTGGCCCCGGGGGGTTTCCTTCTGAGTGTGATGTGGGGTATTGATTATGGCCTCTGATGTCCTCACAAGTATGCCTTATCTCTTGTTCTTGTAGGATGTCTCTTACCTGACCCCTATGCCAGTATCATGATTCAAAGCCTCAGTCGAAAGTTCCTGAATTCTATCTCCAAGAACAGCCTTTAAGCAGAAAGGTCATTGTCAGGATCTTTAGAAGAGAAAGCTTGGAACAGTAACCCCCGGGAAATATTCTAGTTTTGCCAGATACTGGAGAATCAAATGAGTAAGGGAAAATATTCTGTGCAGTAAAATGGTTCTTCCGACACACACTTGGCTTTAGACTTTGCAAAGCTCTTACACTCAAATTACATTTCTCAGTTAAGACTCCAGCACCACTGTGAAGTGAATACTGTTGATCCCATTCCACAGGTGGGCAAACTGGTTTGGAGAGGTTAAGGGAATTGCCTAAGTTCACACAGAAGGTAAGTAACATAGAAGGGGCTTGAACTGAAGTTTTCTTTCCCCAAATTCCAAGCACTGTCAAATACTCTGAACTTTCTGTGTCAGAAATCCCCCTTTTTAGCTGAGCACAGGGTCACCAGGCATAAACAACTACATTGTCCAACTTTACTTGTGCTGCGGCCATGCAATTAAGCTCTGGTCGATGAAATAAAAGAAGAGCTGGTATATGGAACTCCTGGGAAGACAGGTTTTTGTTTTTTTGTTTTGTTTTGTTTTGTTTTAGATGGAGTCTTGTTCTGTCGTCCAGGCTGGAGCGCAGTGGTGCAATCTCAGCTCACTGCAGCCTTTGCCTCCCAGGTTCAAGTGATTCTCCTGCGTCAGCCTCGTGAGTAGCTGGGATTACAGGTGCCCACCACCATGTCTGGCTAACTTTTGTATTTTTAGTAGAGATGAGGTTTCACTATGTTGGCCAGGCTGGTCTCAAACTCCTGACCTCAGGTGATCTGCCTGCCTCAGCCTCCTAAAGTGCTGGGATTACAGGCGTGAGCTACCACACCCAGCCCTGGGAAGACAGTTTATGGGGTGTTGATCTGGCTGGGAGAAGCCTATTTTGCCCCTCTGCCTTTCCTTCTGCTTTAAGCTGCAAGTTGAATGTGATGGCCGGCACTCTAGCAGCCATTTTGAACCAGGAGGCAGCCATGAGACTAGATTATGTGCCAGAAAGTAGGGCAAAAATTGAGTCTTGGGTCCCTCATGTCCCCACTCACCTGCCATGTCAGCCTTGATCTGCCATCTCTCAACTTCTGTTAAATGCTGAAGAGATAAGCTTCTACCTTTTTTTGTTTTGTTTTATTTTTTTGAGACAGAGTTTCACTCTTGTTGCCCAGGCTGGAGTGTAATGGTGCTCACTGCAACCTCTGCCTCCTGGGTTCAAGCGATTCTCCTGCCTCAGCCTCCCAAATAGCTGGGATTATAGGCACCTGCCACCATGCCCAGCTAATTTTTGTATTTTTAGTAGAGACGGGGTTTTACTATGTTGGCCAGGCTGGTCTCAAACTCATAACCTCAGATGATGTGCTCACCTCGGCCTCCCAAAATGCTGTGATTACAGGATTGAGCCACTGTGCCCAGCCTAAACTACCTTGTTTAAGCCACTGTCATGTTGGAGTTTTCTGTCACTTGCAGCCTTCTTCCTCCTATACTTGCTCTGATTCTGGCTCTTTTTAAATGTTCTTATGGCATCTTGTATGTTTTCTTCATAACACTCATCACAGCCAGAATTTACAATTGTTATTTAATCTACATTTCCAATAGTGTGCAGTCCACTGAAGGTAGGGACTGTGTCTTTTCTTATTTGTTGTTACACCTTGGCACATGGCAGAGGGCCAGGCCAGAGGAGGCACGGATGAATATTTATAGAATGAACAAATATTCCTTGCTCCCAACCTCTCCAATAGGTCCCGGGCAGTTAACCCAGGGAAGAGGAAGCCTGCCTCTTTCTCTCAGCCTTACATGCTCACTTCTTCTCTCCAGTGGATTCCCTTTGCCTGCAAATGCCAGGACTTTCGGGATGAACTAGTGCTACTGGGAAGAACCAAGTTCAATACACTGAAAACGTATATTTTCCTTTGTCTCCAAGTCTCTATCATGTGTCTTCTAAGTCACCTTTATGCTTAGCTATGAGAATAAGTCTAAGAAAGACGGAAAAGACAAAAGACCCCAAGGGAGCAATTCCCTTTTCTGACGCACTTTCGGTTCACCACTAAAAACAAAGTGAATTTCAGGCTGAGAGAGTGTAGGCAGAAGTGTAGAACTTACTGAGCTTGTACCATTAGCATCGCAACTGAGCTGCAGGACCTGGCATTGATGCAATCTATGTTCATTTCCTAGACCTGCCACTTTCTACCTGTGTGACCACAGACCCTTCCTTTGACCTCTCAGAGCCTTGGTTTTCTCATCTGCAAAATGGAAACAGTTAAATTTCCTACATCATAGGTTTGTTGTGAGGATTAAATGAGGAAATTTGAGTGTAGGGTGTAGCAGAGTAATTTCCTCTAAACTGGGAACTATTTTTATATTTTTATTCACTGTAATCCATTTAGAAGGCTAGCTGCTGTGACTGTTTTGTAGCACTGATCCCATTCTGGGCTTCTTGAAACCTTCCAGATGAGCTGAAAATTGACTGTGATGGATGATGGCGCCGAATTGGAAAGAAATAATTCATTCTCTATCAGCCGTGCAGATGATATACAATGCAAAGTGCTCGTGTCTAGCCTCACTCCCCTCCCCCCCAGTAAACCTCTCTTATTCTCTTAGCAGTTGTTTGTTATTCCCTTGCCAAACATCCATATAAGCAGATCTGGTTTTATCAAAGGGCAGAGAGTATAGGGTCCTTGGACCAGGGTGTGCATACAGGTGTCTTTTAACAGACAGAGTAGCTTTCGTGTGGCCTTGCGGATGACAAACAGCTAATCCTTTTTACCAGGTTCTAAGTTGAAAGGACTCTGGTGTGGGTTTGGTGTGGAACCTAAAAATGTATCATCTACTTTACTGATCTTACTGTTTCCAAGCAGTGCCTGCTTGCATTCTGCTTGGAATCAAATCCAAAGGTTTCACTAAAACACTGCAAGAAAGAAGACATCCTCTAAAAGGGTGCCGAATAAAGGGAGCATAAAACTTTGGTCTTCGGGATTCCAGATTTTTAGCTGTGCAGGTTATCCAACAAAAAATGATGGGACCCCATGGATGCCGGCAAAATAAAGTTGCATCTAATACACATGTTGGATGCTTGCACCCAGTCAACCATCAGTACCCAGTGGTTCTCTGAAAGTGGTTAATGGAAGACTAAAGTACCCCGTGAGAAAGTGTGGGCTAGTTATAGCAGCCAAATAAGCTGACTTTTAAAAAATGGAGGTGAAACTCACATACCATAAATTAAACCATCTTAAAGCGAATAATTTAGTGGCACTTGGTATATTTACACCGTTGTGCAATTGTCATCTC